>NC_000001.11:234517454-234668970 GCF_000001405.40 Homo sapiens | reverse complement strand
TGCTACCGTGAGTCTATTATTCCTATGCGTATCAACTCCCAGGAAGCATGTGTAGCTCGCTGATGGAATACAGAGAAATATTCCTGAGAGAATACCAAAAATAGTCCGTTTGTGCTACTAAAACAAAATGGCTGAGACCGAGTAGCTAGCTTATAAAGAACAGAAAGCTATTTTCTCACAGTTCTGGAGGCTGGGAAGTCCAAGATAAAAGCACCAACGGGTTTGGTTGTCTGGCAAAGGCTTCTCTCTGTTTCCAAGATGGTGCCTTGTTGCTGTGTCCTCCAGAGGGAAGGAATGCTGTGTCTTCACATGGCAGAAGGCTGAAGGGCAAGTGAGCTAACACTGTGTGAAGCTTATTTTATAAGGACCTTAATCCCATTCAAGAGGGAGGAGCCTGCATGTCCTAATCACCTCTTAGAGCCCTCATCTCTCAATACTGTCACATTGGCAACACCTGAATTTTGGAAGGGATACATTTAAACCATAGGAATACCTGTATATTACCCCAAGACCAATACTGGGTGACAAGTTTGCAGTCATTCACAGACATGAGCAAAGCAAAAAATGTGAGTCACCTAACCTGCGGGTTGCTAGCTGAGGTCAAAGTGACATGCTCTCTTCTTGTTTCAGCTCTCTTACTATAAACAAGTGACCTTTTTGTGGTCTATTTAGTGCCATCTTATTTTACATTTTTCTTGGCTCTTTGTTGGTGATTTTGTTGCTTAAAATGTCCACTTTTCCTGCCCCCACTACAGACTAGTACTGAAGTGCTGTCCAGTGTTCATAAGCACGGGAAGGCCAGAAAGTGCCTTATGTAGAAAATATGTATGTCAGATAAGTTTTGCTCAGGCATGAGTTATTGTGCTGTTAGCCATGAATTCAATGTTAATGAGTCAACAATATATATTAAATGAGGTGTCTTTACACAGAAATACACATAAAACAAAGTTATGTACTGATGGGTGATCAGAGGCTCATAGGAACCTAACCCTGTGTTTCCCCTAGGAGCAATGCTTCAGTATTCCAGAATTCAGGGTTTGAAGCAACTTTATAGAACACAGCTATTGTGAATAATGAAAACCAGCTTTGTTTTTTACATATTTCCCTAGCTGCTATGTGGAAAATGAACTGCAGTGGTGCAAAGGAGGTGGCAGAGAGGTCAATTAGAATGCTTTTGCAGGAGCCCAGCCCAGGAGCTTGCACTCAAGGGGTAGTTATGCTGATGGAAAGAAGAGAAGAGGGAGTAGAATGGTTTTTAGTTGGAAAGGACAGAGTTCCTGTCTGCCTAACCAAAGCAGGCTCTCAGTCATTCTTGCATTGCTGTATTTAAAATTCCTGAATAGCTTTTCACTATCTGACATAGTCCTTATTTATTTATTTATTTATTTTTATTTCTGTTTTCCTCTGCTAGGATGGAAGCCACGTGAGAGCACGTGCCTTATCTGTTTTCTTCATTCCCGTACCTCCAGTGCCTAAAGCCTAAGCTGGCCTAGAGAAGCACTCAATAAACATCTACTAAATGCATGGGCTTGCCAAAGGGATGGAGCAGAGGTTGAGGAAGGAGAGTAATTAACAGTACTAGGAATGTGAGGAATAGGAGATAGAGTGTAAATTAAGATCCTTTTGGTTAACTTCTGGAATATTCCAATCTCACAGAGAATTTTCCTATAAGAAAGTACAGGCTAGAGGGGTTCATATATGGAGAATTTAAATCTCCCCATGAGAACTCAAGAATGCTTTTAAATTTCTGCATAGAAATGGCCATTGATTCATTCATGTCTCATGTTAAGACCTTGCCATACAAGAAGAAATTACATGGATGGTATCTTAGTTGGCTTGGGCTGCCATAACAAAATGCCACAAATTGGGTGGAATAAACAGCAGAAATTTATTTTCTCACAGTTCTTGAGGCTGGAAGTCCAAGATCAAGGTGACAGCAGGTTTGGTTTCTCCCAAGGCCTCTCTTCTTGGCTTGCGGATGGCATCTTCTCACAGTGTGCTCACATGGCCATTGTGTGCGTGGAAAGAGAGTGAGCTCTGGTGTCTCTTCCTCTTCTTAGAAGGATACCAGTCACGTTTGAACTAGAGCCAATCCATATGACCTTACTTAACCGTCATGACTGCTTTACATGCCCTATTTCTATATACAGTCACATTCTGAGGTGTACTGGGGTCAGGACTTTAACAAGTGAATCTGAGAGGGACACAGTTCAGTCCATAACAGACAGCCTTAAGAAGAGCCAGCGCTGTCGCTAGGTTGTTTACCCAGATGGAGATGCAACCGTGAAGCAAGAGCCATTTGCAAATGGTACTCCCAGACCAGCCTCGGCCAAGCCCAAGGGCAGGTTTGACGCCATCCAGGAGCCAGAGTCCCAACACCAGGCTCCTACAAAGTGTAAATAAGCATCCTCTGAATGCTGGTTGCTTACTTGGAGATATTTTTAAGTGTTCCCAGTCTTTGAAAAAGGAACTAAATGTTCCCCCTGCCTCAGCTCCCTGCTGCCTAAGAAGCATGTGATGGAAAAACCAGGCTGGGCTAGGGACAGAGTGGGAGCAAGCGAGCTCTCAGGTCCTCACGTTGATTTATGTTGTGGTTAGTGGTTGTAGTGATTGGGCTTCTCAGAGGTGATTGGTATGATCTGGAGGTTGGCGTTGTTAAGGAGAGGTTTCGGTGATGAGCACAGAAAATAGAAAATTACTGTAAATAAGGTGGTATTTAGCTGTTTTTAATTTTATACAGCTCATTATACCATGGTCAAATGAAAACCTTGACATTTGGGGCAGGAAGCATGTGGCTAGTGGGGGTGAGTGGACTCCAGTCCTGGCTGCTGCAGAGTGAAAGTCTTTCAAGATCCTCACAGAAGCAAGCTGCACAAAAGGGAGCTTTAGAAATCAACACTGGCGATTTCGTCTTCCAGATAGAGTTCTGTACTCTATAGATTCCTTACTCTGCTAGTCAGTACAGAGACAGGAATGGGGGCACTGGGGGATGAGGGGGTGGACTGCCGCAACACACCAGGCACAGGCAATGATATTCTCATTAGATCAAGCCAGTGGAACACATTGTCCTCACTCTGAGGCCCTTGGTCATGGAAGTCAGATGAACACAAAGCCTCAACATCGCTAAGGCCAGGCTACACTATTAAGGCAAAGGCCTAGCTGTTCTCCAGACAGCTTAGGAAAAGGCAAAATGTTTTCCTGGGTTACTCCTTGCCTGGCTGGATAAAGCAGTCACCCAATGACTGAACTGCAAGAAATTGTGAGTCTTTGGTACATCATCTACATTCAGGTCAAAAGAACTTTGAACGTAATGTTTGTCTCTGCAATAAAATCCCACTGTGATTCTATCTTCTCTTTGAAAACCATGAAGTTGAAAGAATATAATATAGCGAGATCAGAGTATGGCACAGTGGTTAAAAGAATGGACTTTGGAGGCGGGTGATCTGAGTTCTAATCCAGCCTCTGACACTGACTGGTTGTGTGACTGTGGACAAGCGAGGTATCCTTTCTGTGCATAATGATGGTATCTTCCTCCTGAAAGTGTTGTGAGAAATACATATACAAGGGCTGGGGACAGTGGTAGGCATATGGGACAAAGGAAACCTGTTATCATGTGTACTGAACAAAGGCTCCTTTGGAAATTTCACTGGGTTAAAGGAGAGAGAAAGAGAGCCAAGGAGAGAGAGAAACAGAGAGAGAGACACACACACAGAGATAGAGAAAAAGAAAGTATGTGTGTGTGAGAGAGAGACATAGAGAGAGACGCAGGGTTGCGGGGGAGAGAGAGACACAGGGTTGCGGGGGAGAGAGAGAGAGACAGGCTGTGTGTACCTATTAGGTAGGAAGCAAAGGAAGAACAAACTGGTTCTTATGAAGCCTCACTGGAAACACTCCATACCAGTGGTCCCCACCTTTTTGGCACCAGGGACTGGTTTCGTGGAAAATAATTTTTCCACGGTTGGGGGGTGGAATGGTTTCGGGATGATTCAAGTGCATTACATTTATTGTGCACTTTATTTCTATTATTATTACATTGTAATATATAAGGAAATAATTATACAACTCACCATAGTATAGAATCAGTGGGAATCCTCACTCAGCTTGTTTTCCTGCAACTAGATGGTCCCATCTGGGGGTGACGGGAGACAGTGACAGATCGTCAGGCATTAGATTCTCATAAGGAGCAACCTAGATCCCTCGCATGTGCAGTTCACAATAGGGTTCAAGCTCCTATGAGAATCTAATGCTGCAGCAGTTCTGACAGGAGGCAGAGCTCAGGCAGTAATGGGAGTGATGGGGAGCGGCTGTAAAAACAGATGAAGCTTTGCTTGCTTGCCTGCTGTTCACCTCCTGCTATGTGGCTTTGTTCCTAACAGGCCATGGACCTACAGGTATTTTAGAGCAGGGTTGGGAACTCCTGCTTTTTAATATTATTTTATTTTATTTTATTTTTTTGAGACAGAGTCTTGCTATGTCACCAGGCTGGAGTGCAGTGGCACAATCTCAGCTCACTGCAACCTCCGCCTCCCAGGTTCAAGCGATCCTCCTGCCTCAGCCTCCCGAGTAGCTGTGATTAGCACCTGCCACCACGCCCGGCTAATTTTTGTATTTTTAGTAGAGACGGGGTTTCACCATGTTGGCCAAGATGGTCTCGATCTCCTGACCTCGTAATCCGCCCTCCTCGGCCTCCCAAAGTGCTGGGATTACAGGCGTCAGCCTCCCAAAGTGCTACAGGCATGAGCCACCGCGCCCGGCCCTGCTCTTTAATATTAAAACTCCTCCCAAATGTGGGCCAGTGGCTTAGTTGATACACCATACATTTTTTCCCCCTCTAAATGGAATGTGTTATAGTCCCCTCTTTCTGAGCCTCTATGGCCTTGAAAAATCCAGGAAACACCTTTATCTGCTTGGGCCCAGTCTCGCCTTCCCTTCCTCTTCATCTTGACAAGTGTCCCTGCCTTGGAGTCATCAGCCGCCAGTCCCTCGCCCCTTGGAGTGAGGCCTCCATCACCAGAAATCCTTCCTCTGCCCAGCAGGTGACTTGAAACCTCTGAGAGTTTAGGCCTTAGAGATATTCTCTGGTGTATGTCTTAAAAAGAAACTTGCTGATTTGAAAGAAAATGTCTATTCATGACCCTGGAAATGAAGGGAGGCAGTAAGAAGAGAACTAGGAACTATAAGAAAGAAGGAAAGAGGCCGGGCGCGGTGGCTCATGCCTGTAGCACTTTGGGAGGCTGAGGCGGGCAGATCACCTGAGGTCAGGAGTTCGAGACCAGCCTGCCAACATGGTGAAACCCCGTCTCTACTAGAAATACAAAAATTAGCCAGGTGTGGTGGTGGGCGCCTCTAATCCCAGCTACACGGGAGGCTGAGGCAGGAGAATCGCTTGAACCTGGGAGGCGGAGTTTGCAGTGAGCGGAGGTTGCAGTGAGCGGAGATTGCGCCACTGCTCTTCAGCCTGGGTGACAAGAGCGAAACTCCATCTCCAAAAAAAAAAAAAAGAAGAAGGAAGGAAAGAAAGAAGGTTGGGGCGAGTGAGTGAGCGAGCTAGCGAGTGAGGTGAGTGAGCGAGCGAGGTGAGTGAAGTGAGTGAGTGAGGTGAGGTGAGTGAGCAAGAGAGTGAGGTGAGTGAGCGAGGTGAGTGAGGTGAGTGAGCGAGATGAGTGAGCGAGGTGAGTGAGCGAGGTGAGTGAGTGAGGTGAGGTGAGTGAGTGAGGTGAGTGAGGTGAGTGAATGAGGTGAGTGAGCGAGGTGAGTGAGCGAGGTGAGTGAGCGAGGTGAGTGAGTGAGGTGAGGTGAGTGAGGTGAGTGAATGAGGTGAGTGAGCGAGGTGAGCGAGGTGAGTGAATGAGGTAGGTGAGTGAATGAGATGAGTGAGGTGAGTGAATGAGATGAGTGAGGTGAGTGAGTGAGGTGAGCGAGGTGAGCCAGGTGAGTGAGCGAGGTGAGTGAGTGAGGTAAGTGAGTGAGGGGGGTATGGGAAGGAAGGGAACGGAGCAACATTTTCAAAGTTTACTGTGAAGCAAGAAACAAAAAGTGGCAAAGTGAGCATCTTCACGTAAATCTACATGGAAACATGAACATCTGTCATAGCCAGGATAAATTTAACATGCAGAGAAATATACACGCTAGGATGTTAAAGGCAGCAGGATCCACAGTGTGATTAGAACCATGTTAAAACCAAACACAAATCGATGTAGGAAAAATGATCTGAAGGAAATATTTCCAAAGTGTTAGCCGTGGTGGTCTTTGGGAGGTTTTGAGGAATTTTCTTCTTCTTTTGATGTAACAGAAAGAAGGAGCAGACTTATTTAAAAGAGAAACCTCACTGCAGTAAGATCCCCGCTTTCACAGACCACTCTCAGCAAGGCAGCTGAACCATTCCAAGAGCCTATTTGTCTTGTTCCTTCTCCATTCCAGCTTTTCTCACTTTGTACCAGGTTCCTTCATTCCTGATGGGTGTCTTTACCTTCTAGTACCTTCCTGTCCACTCGTCAGAGGGCTGCTGGACTCATCCACCTCAATTAACGACCACTTCCCACTCTCTCCCACCCTCACCTGGTTCATCCACCTCCTGAATCGCTCCGGCATCCTCCCTGCCACTCCCCAGGCTGGAGTCCACGTCTGGTCCACATCTCTTCCCCGCCTCTCGCCCTCAGAAGGTACAAACCCTCCCATTGTGTACACTGACTTTCACACTTGACTCCCTCCTCTTCCCTCCCTGTGTTCCACAAAACCAGGTGTCCTGCCCTTCTCCTAAGCTGCAACAACTTGCTCTGAATATTTTTACCACAGCCCTTATCACGTTAAACCAAAAATATCTGTTTCTTATGTGTCATATTCCCCCAGTTAGATACTCTCTAAAGACAGAGACCGTGTCTTAACACGGTCGAACCCCCAGTCCCTAACACAATCCCTGGCACAGACTGAATTCTCCATCAACACCGTCTCACTGAATCTGGTTTCTTTGCCAAAAACTTTCCATGGTTCTTCTCTGAAGACCGTCCAAACCTTCAGCCTGACTTTCAGAAACATAGAAAGGCTGGTTTAAACCTAGCTTTGCCACCTTAATGGCCAATGAATGGCACCCGCCCCCAAAATGGGCTCTGCCATAGTGAGTGTTCACCTCTCTGGAGCACACCTCACGCGTGTCCTCCCACTCCTTTTTTATCACCATGGCCAAAACACCCTCTCATCTTCGTGTTTCCTAATTTCACTCTAGTTCTCCCTCAACTCCCAGCTCCAGTGCCATCTCCTCTCGAAGTCCTTCCTTCCACCCCAATCAGCTTCTGCAACCATCCGTGATCCTTTGCTACTTCTGGAACTTCTCATGTGTGTATATCTCACTTTGCTAATTCAATGTAGGTAAGCCCCCCTCCCTGTCCTGCTGCACATGCACTTGGACCTAGGAGCTCCCCAGTAAGAGCTGCTGACTGGCTGATGTAGGTCATGTGCTGCCGTGGAGGTGACTGTGCTGGGTGTGCCAGTTTTGGTTACCGGGCTGTGGATGCGTGTCTCACACAGGCCGCACCTTGAAGGGAGGGCCCCTGAACCTAAGCAGGAGAGGTTCAGTCATCCCAGTCCTCCCCCAGCTGCTCTGCCTCTGCTTCCTGATCGCCTGCCACAGGGCACTGGGTGGACTGCCAGAAAGACCCTGCCACAGCTCGCCCAGGAACCAGGACAGACCCCGGTGGACGAAGGGCCCCGCACCTTGCAGCCAGCGTCCTGGTGCTCAGAACAATCCAGGCATCTTACAGAACACCATGGTTTGCTCAATCTGTAGGCAAATAGTTACTGTCCATGGGAAAGTATTAGGAACCAGAAAATCATGTTTGTTTTCCTTCTCATTATAAACTTTCAATGGCTCCCCTCTGAATACCATCTAAAGCAGTAAGTAACCTGGTATTTGAGACCTTACACATTTTTATTCAAATCTGTCTTTCATTAATGGGATACTGGCCAAGGCCACCCAGCCTGTACCTTTTACTCATTTATAAAGAAATGGAAAATTCCTTACTGAATGAGTGAATGAATAAATGCATGCAATGGTGGTTGTCTTACACTTTATATAACACGTCCTCTGGATTTACTAATAAAAAATGCTGTAGGCCTCTTCCAGCGGCTTTCCCTCATCCTGGTCTGCATTGCAGGGGCTGTGGCTGCAGCCAACACTGAAGACTGCACGGCACCTGAGGAGACCAACATCTTGTCTTTCAGAGACGAGGGTGATGTCATGAGTCACTTCTTGGTCTTTCCCCTCTCTCTGCGCATGTGGTGTCAGCCGTGGTGCCTGCCAACCCGAAGACAGGACTTGCTACATACGTCAGCAGTGGAAGAGAGCCGAGTTACCCCGAGTTACCAATGGCGAATCCCTATGGGTCCACAGCAACTTCAGTCCTTGCCTCCTCAGAAGAAAGAATTCGACTGAGGGGCGTTAAGGCAGAAAAAGAGAGCAAGTTTCAGAGCAGGAGTGGAAGTTTAGTTAAAAGGCTTTAGAACAGGAAAGAAAGCAAAATTCGCTTGAAAGAGACCCAAGCAGGCGCCTGAAGGTCCAAGAGAGAAAAGAGAGCACAAGAAGACAGTAAAAAAGAGGGTCTTTAACCTTGATCCTGGGACTTCATAGGCTTGCCTCTTTCCCAGGATTCTTCCCTTACAGGGTGGGTTTCCCGCATGCGCAGTGCTCGCCATACCGTTTGGAATGGAGCATGCGCAGTGTGTTTAGGGAGGTCCACGCAGGCCCCTCAGGCTTTCTTCCCTTTTCTGGTGGAGTGGTCATCAAACGTCATCATTTTTTGTCTCTTAACACGCATGCCCAGGAAGTTGCTTCTCCCTGGAGCCTGCATTCGATTAACAGTTTGATGTTAACAGGTGCGGACCATCAGGAAATGGTCTCTTCTGGTGCGGTGGAATTGTCATTTTTAGAGAAGCGATGCGATCATTGCCGAATCATCACCCGAGATTTCTAGTGGGTGATGGAGAGACCTCTCTTCTGCCCCTTTCATGCCTAACTACCTGTAATACATAGAGGGGGCTTGGCTGGGACTTTGGAGTGAATTCAGGGAAGCTGGCCGTGCACAGCTCGGTAGACCACTGAGGATGAGACTTGAGGGTCTCTGGGCCTGCCGGCGGCCCATTGTGGGCAGATCAGTGCGAGGGATCCTCACACTCCGGCTATTACAAAGCTGGACCTTTACCTCTGCTTAAGCAGAAAGAGGCCTGAGCGGGTGACTCATTCTCACTCATCAGAGCATCCGCAGGGCTCCAGCCCTGCCCCAACCTCCCTGTGTCTACTGGGACAGCCTCAAGGCCAAGGGAAGGAACTAAGAGGAAAAAACTCTAGTTTTAAAAACTGAACAGAATTGAGGAGGAGCCTCCTCAGGACCGGTTCTTTCCTCCCCCACTGGCCTCTCTCACCTGCCACCATCAACTTTTAGTCCCTTGAAATGTTCAAGCTGTTTGTCATTCCCTGGGAGCAGCTAGTCCACTGAGCTTCTGCATTTGGGGCTGAGTGACAAGAAATCAAAGGGACGAAATGGGCCAACTCCCTAATCTTACCTCCCTGCATTAAAGTGGAGAATATATGGGAGTAAATAAATGGAAAATACACAGTCAGTTCTTTACCATCACAGTCAATAAGGCAGAATCACTCCAGGAGGAAATGCGGTCTGGGGGACTTCCTTCATCTGAGACACCTAACCTGGGGACAGCTCGGCTCTGTGTCCCACCTCTGCCACCACAGACTCTCTGCCCACTCACTTCTCTGTATTCCCCAAGATCTGGGGTGCTTCATTTGGGTTCCTGGAGAAAGGAGAAATATTTTCTACCTAGAGTGAATATATCTGGTGTCCTTCCAAATAGCTGCAGCCCATGCATTTTTAATAAGAAGGAAGCCCTGATGAATGTCACAAAGCCAATAAATGTGGCCACCACCACGGTGGAGATGTCGTTATACAGCTGTAAAGTGCCTGCAATGTGCAGGGCAGAGCAGAGATTAGACATGTTGCCCACCCAGTGGGCTGATGATCAAAGTGCCTGTGTGTTTCTGTAGGCATTTCCAGTTCAGTTTACATTTTAGAAGAAAATAAATACACTCAGACAACCATCTCCTGTTCTTCTTCTCCCTACCCTCCACCTTCGATAATGGAATAAACTTTTCCCTTCCCCCTCCCTTTTATACTAAAACAGTTCCTTGGAGGTATCAGTGGGGCTGCTTAGGGGCAAAGGCCGCGGATCCCAACTCTGCACCTAGAAACTGGCTGATCCTTGTGACCCGGTCAACTGGGACCCAGTTGCAGCCAAACCTCTCTTCACTCGCCAGCAAGACCTGCAATTGCTCAGTTTCATCCCAGATCCCAGTGGTTCTAGCTAGACTCAGGCCAAAGACTACTTGGGCCTTGTGATGAAAGGCCTTTGGGAAATTAGCACTTTTCCACTGGATTATTGGAGCTGCAGCAACTTGCCTACCTCTGGGATTCTGTTCAGTGCCTGACATCCTGAAGGTTTGCCTGGGCTCCTCCCAGCCCTAGTCTAATCCTGAATGAGCTGGCACTGGCTGGGCAGCCTGGCCTCACCTGGGATCCCTGTTTGGCTTGGCCTTTGTCAAGGAGGCCAGGAGCCTGAGGAACTAGAGGATTAAGCAACAGCTTCCCAGGGGCGAATTCCTGCCTAGCGCCTGGTATCTGGTTTCTGAGCCAAGCAAGGGTGGCTCTGTTTCTGCTGATTCCTCATCGTGGTTGCATGCTACATCCTGATTCTCTATTCCTGCCTGGATATTCCTCCCCAGAAGGAATTAAGTCAAGGGCCCTGAGAGCTGCAGGCCCAGATGTAGCTCTTATATGCAAACACTTCCACTTCTGAATTCTCAGAAGTTACTAAGACCCCTTAGAGCCATGCTGGGGTCCTGTTAGCTCTTCCTCTGGGCCCAACTTAATTGACTTGGCCCGGTGTTATTTTAGACACCCGAAATAGGCAAGTGCTTGGTATCAGGGTGGTTTAAATTTCAGAGGGGCATGGCATGGCATGGCATGTTTGAGGCTGGGACTTATAATGCACAGATAAGAGCCTTCTTTGTTGCTCTAACAGTTTTGCTCATCTTTACCCACCATGTCTCAGATCACCCTGTGGGTGTTGGAGAGTTATGTCTGATTGTTTTTGCACACAGGTTGGAAATGTATGAAAGATAGACTGAATTTCTTGCCTCCTTCCCTAGAGCAAACCTAATAGCTCAGACTACAGCAAGCTGCTGATGTTCTATCTCTGTGAACTAGGAGGTGATAAGCTGAGGAATGCCTGCTCCTATCCCCATTTTTACCTGAGATCCCAGAAACTGGCATGCCCCGTACGCCCTGGGTTTGCCAGGTACAAACCTGTTTAAGCCTGTCCTGTTATACACATGAAAACACCCCCTGCTGTTCTCGAAAGTGAAAGCTGGACAATGAATTATGGAGTTGCCCTGTGTATAGAGGACATCCCATTCATTCTAGCTGTGTTCTTTCCAGACTACAGAGAGCATGTTATGGCTGGGGAAGTTAGGGCTGAGAAAGGGAAGTGACTTGTCTACACTCACATAGTGAGTCAGTAGCAGAACCGTTTAAGAGAATCCAGGGGCTTTGACTAATGTGCTACTCACTCCTGACACCACCCTGGTAAAGGGAGTAGAAAGGACAGGAATAGGTCAGTTGACAACATGTGGTGGAGGAGAGAAGCCTGCGTGCCTATGCATGTGAAATGACGTTAGAAGGCTTCCAAAAGGGCGGGTGCAAAATAATATTGCACAGTGCAATTGATCCTTAGTGGGAGCTCAGGAGCTGTTGGTTGATGAGTGAGTTGATAAGCTACAAGTGCCCACAGGGAGAAGGGAAACATCAAGCAGGATGACCAGGGGGTGCTGCAGAGAGGAAGCAGTGAACTGCCCGCAGCTGGCTGAGCCTGAGCCTGTGATGGGGCCAAGGGTGTGCTGGCACCGTATGGGCGGAAGGACCCGGGCTACCTCTAAGTCTACTGAGGCGTTATTTACCAAGGTGAGGGTTGAGCTGGATTCCGAAAAGGAAATCTGGTAAGGAGAAAGAGGCGAGCCCAGCGTGAAGGAAGGAGGTGTAGGGAGAGTGGGCAGACGAGACGGCCTGGGGCAGAGGGAGATGGAAGAAAAGAAACAAAGAATGTCTGCCCAGCATCCTCATTTTTTTGGTTTTCCGGGAAAATGGTGAAACTCTTGCAAGTGGCGATTACAGAGGGCGGGAGTAGGAGAGAAACCACAGTGATTTTTTTTTTCAGGACCGAAAAAATGTTTTCCCCAAACTAAACAAAGTCAGATTGAGAAATGCAACGTAGTACCTTAGGGACCTGGTGGCTCATTGCTACGTCTTGCCACAGGCGCCGGCCTCAGATGCTCATGGCCGCCTGGGGAGGGGAGGAGGACCCTTAAACTTTTCAAGATCCAAACAGTCATGGTTCTCTTTTTGCAAAATAGTTTTTGTCAGCCTCTTGTAGATAGTGGTGGTCGCACCTTTTGTGAACCACAGCACGACATGTGCCTGGATGCCTCTTCCCCACCTGTTACCTGCCCAGGGAGCCTCACCTGCCTCTTATAGGACAGCTTCATAGCCTGTGACTTCAGTGTGGTCCTCTTACACGGAAAGCCCCCAGTGATGGCTGGTGTTGTTACCTAAAAGGTCATTTCCCTCAGATGACACCAGTGCTTTAGGATCATCAAAGAAACAAAGGAATCTTATACTTACAAGATGAAACTCTGCCTTCAAAAAGGGAGATGCGGCCAAATTCTTCAGGAAAAACCGGAGCTGGGGCCTGGGTGGTCTTGCTGGTATTCCTTCTTTTGTGATTAAATGAAGCCATTCATTTCAGAGCTGCCTTAAAAAATGTAGGAGTCATTCAACCTTCTTCAGCAAATTATACTGATTTTAAATGAACAAAAAAGTCAGCGGCCCTATTCACACACCCCCACCCCTCCCCCATCAGAAATAATGTATCTGATGATGAAAATTACCAACAGCCTGAAAAGAAAAAATCATGGCAACTTCTCAGTTGCACATCGTACTTTCACATTTCTATTTATGTGAAATTCTTATTCTCAACCATCTGATTTTTGTTAACGTTAGGGATCTAGATCTAGTCAGGTCTTGTGCCTGCACACCCCTTTAATTAGCGTGATAACTCAAATTGCTTTCTAATTGAGATGGCTGTGCTTCTGATTCTTATCTGTGGAGCTGGAGGCCTTGGGGCCACCTGCACAGCCCCATTGGCTGAGATTTTATCTGCTAGCACTGCCCTCTCTCCCAGGACTCTGCTGGTCAGGGGCTGAACTCTGAAGCTTCTCCAACCTCAGGTGGAAATCTGAGTTCTTGCCCAGCCCAGAATGCTGGGGGATCTCAGCAGCCTGCCTGGGCACACAAGAGGAGTGGGTGCTGAGCTGGCACAACAATTCTATCCTCCTGTCCTCACCCTGGGATTTCCGATTTGCTGCAGGGTGTGGGAGAACCCAGCTCCCACCTCTGCTAGCTGTGCATAATTACTGAGTGGGGAGGGCATCACTGTCTCAGACAAGAATGAGGGGCTGGCCCACAGTCTCTGCACTTCTCAAGTGGTCTCCGGAGGCACCCGAGGTGGCTGGCTACGATCCTGGGACCTATGTAGTCACTGGTGCCAGTGTCCATGCTGATGACTCTAGCGGCCACCTCTGTCCAGGCAAGGGCTGAATCCCGGCACCAATGTAACTTTTTCCAAGCAGCCTAGATTAGGCAATTGAAAAAAACAAAAACAAATTTTATACTGAGGTAAAGGGACCTTCAGTATAATCCTAGCTTTTATCACATAAATAGAGGTAGGGGGTACCCACCCCACCAAACCAAAAGGATTCATGACACAGTGCAAAGTGCCATGTGCCTTCACAAAGAGAAGGGTCACGTCAATATCAACTCCTACAGCGATTCAACTCTACAGAGACAAATGGTGTTTTAAAAATTCCATTTTATTCATTGGTAGTTTTTCCCTTTTTAACAAAATTGTCTATATTTAAGGCATACAACATGATGTTTTGACATATATATACAGAGTGAAATCGTTACTACAGTCAAGCAAATTAACATATTCATCATCTCGCAGTTATTTTTTGTGTGTGTATGATAAGAACACCTAAAATCTACTCTCTTCACGAATTTCCAGTATACAATATAATATTATTAACTATGCTGTACACCATACCTTTAGATTTATTTATCCTACATTTGCACCCTTTGACCTCTCCCCACTTCTCCCTCTCCCATCCCCAGTAACAGCCATTCTACTGTCTCTTTTCTACTTATTTAACTTCTTTTTTAGATTCCACATATAAGATGAATCACAGTATTTTTCTTTCTGTGGCTGGCTTGTTTCACTTAACATAATGTCCTCCAGGTTCATCCATGTTGTCAAAAATGGCAATATCTACTTTTTAAAGGCTGTGTAATATTCCACTATATGTATATATATGTGCATATGTGTGTGTGTGTGTGTGCATAAAAGCATACTGATTAAGGAAAATGTTCAAGCCATACTGGTCTGTGGTCTGAGTTAGACCATGATTGTATCCTTTCCTTTGGCTGACCTTTACAATCCCTCAATAAGTTGTGCTAACACAGGGAAACTGCTTTTACCAAATCCCTGTGATGAACAATTTCTTTATCCATCCGTCAGTTGATGGACACTTAGGTTGCTTCAATATCTTGGCTATTGTGAATAATACTGCAATGAACATGGGAGAGCAGGTATCTCTGTAAGGTACTGATTTAATTTCCTTTGGGCATATATCCAGCACAGAGATTGCTGAGTCATATGATAGGTAGCTCTATTTTTAGTGTTTTTTTGAGAACCCCCTGCAATTTTTTCCATAATGACTGTCCCGATTTATATTCCTACCAACAGTGTATAAGGGTTCCCTTTTCTCCGCACCCTGTCCAACACTTGTTATCTCTTCTTTTTGGTAATAGTCATCTTGATGGATGTCAGGTGATATCACATTGTGGTTTTGATTTGCATTACTCCGATAATTAGTGATGCTGAGCACCTTTTCATACACCTGCTGGCCATTTTTATGTCTTCGTTGGAGAAATGTCTGTTCAGGTGCTTTGCCCATGTTTTAACTGGGTTATCTGTTCTTGTTGTTGCTTTTGAGTTGTGTGAGTTCCTATATATTTTGTATATTAACCCTGTATCAAATATCATGTTGGTGCAAAAGGAATTGTGGCTTTTGCCATTAAAAGTAATGGCAGAAACTGCCATTAATGCCATTAAAAGTAATGGCAAAAACAGCAATTACTAATATATGGTACACAAATATTCTCTCACAATCCATAGGCTCTATTCTTTTCATTTTGTTGATTGTTTTCCTTGCTGTGTGGAAAATTTTTAATTTGATATAGTCCCACTTATTTATTTTTGCTTTTGTTGCCTGAGGTTTTGATGTAATATTTAAAAAAAAGTCATTGCCAAGGCCAATGCCAAGGAGCTTTCCCCCTGTTTTCTTCTAGGAGTTTCATGGTTTCAGGTCTTAACTTACATCTTAATCTATTTTAAGTTGATTTTTGTGTCTGTTGTAAGATAAGGTCTAACTTCATTCATTTTCATGTGGATATCTTGCATTCCCAACACGATTTACTAAAGAGACTGATTTCTCCATTGTACCTTCTTGGTGCTCTTGTCAAAAATTAGTTGATTGTATATGTTTGGGTTTATTTCTGGACTGTCTATTCTGTTCTGTTGGTTCATGTGTCTGTTTTTATGTCAATACCATACTGTTTTGATTACTATAGATTTGTAGTAAAATTTAAAAATCACCAAGTATGATGACTTCAACTTTGTTTTTCTTTCTTAATAACTTTGGCTATTGGGGTCTTCTGTGATTCCATACAGATTTTAGAACTGATTTCTCTAGTTCTGTAAAAAATGTAATTGGAATATTGACAAGGATGGCTTTGAATCTTCATACTGCTTTGTGTACTATGAACATTTTAACAATATTAATTCTTTCTGTCCATGAATATGGGATCTCTTTCCATTATTTGTGTCATCTTAAACTTCTTTTATCAATGTTTTATAATTTTTAGTGTACAGGTCTTTCAGCTACTTGGTTAAATTTATTCCTAATTATTTTATTCTTTTTAATGTTATTAATGAAATTGTTTTCTTTATTTTTTGGATAAGTCATTATTGTTGTGAAGAAAGGTACTGATTTTTGTATGTTGATTTTGTATTCTCCAACTTTACTGAATTCGTTTATTAGTTTAAACAGGTTTTTTTTGTGTGTTTGAAGTTGTTAGGGTTTTCTACATATAGGATCATGTCACCGATAAAAAGGGATAATTTTACTTCTTTTCTGATTTAGATGCCCTTCATATTTTTTTCTTATCTGACTGCTCTGGGTAGTACTTTCAATACTATGTTGAATAGAAGTGGCAAGAATGGGCATCCCTGCCTTGTACTGGATCTTAGAGGAAAAGCTTTCCATTTTTCCCACTGCTTATGTTGCTATCTCTAGGATTTTCATAAACAGCCTTTATTATGTTGAGGAAATTTCCTTCTATACCTAAAGCGTTGAGACTTTTTAATCAAGAAAGAATGTTGAACATTGTCAAATGCTTTTTCTGCATCTATTGAGGAGAAAATGAATAATCTTGAAGAACACTTTGTGAAAGTGACTTACAGAGTGGTTGCGCCTAGAGCACTGACCCATAAATGATCAAGTGCTGGCCGGGTGCTGTGGCTCATGCCTGTAATTCTAGCATTTTGAGAGGCCAAGGCAGGCAGATCACCTAAGGTCAGCAGTTTGAGACCAGCCTGGCTAAGATGGCAAAACTCTGTCTCTACTAAAATTACAAAAAAAATTAGATGGGCATGGTGGCAGGCACCTGTAATCCCAGCAACTTGGGAGGCCAAGGCAGGAGAATTGCTTGAACCCGGGAGTCAGAGGCTGCAGTGAGTCGAGATCGTGCTATCGCAATTGCACTCCAGCCTGCGCAACAGAGCGAGACTCTGTCTCAAAAAAAAAAAAACAAAAACAAAACAAGTGGGCAAGAATTGCCAAATATGCATAAGGAAAATTATCTCAGAGAGGCTGGGGGTGGGGGTGAGTGGACAGATCAGCTTAGCCTCTAAGGTAGGGCATGTATATGCTTGTAGTAAGAAGTTATATAAAGGGCCTTCTCTTTATAGGAACAGTAGCTTCTGCCCTAATCCTAGGTCATTGTCATCATCTACCCAAAGGGGTAGGCAGTAGACACTTGATGAGGGTGGAACAGGTGAAAGTAGTAAAGGCTGCTTGTAAGAGGTGAAAAGAAGGGCTATTCAACAAACGGTGTTGGAACCAGTGGCTAGCCACTTAAAAAAATAAATTAAGCTCATTCTTACCACACTCTTTCCCCCAATAAATTCCATGTGTATAAAAAATTTAAAGGTAAAATTTGAAACCATAAGGTTTAAAAAATCATGGGTGTGTTTATTGATCATCTCTGTCTAGCAAAGTCCTTTCTAGTGTAGAAGCCACAGATTTAAAAAATTATAAATTTAATGCCATAAAAGTATACATCCTTTTGTATGACAAAATTACCTTTAAAAATGTGACAATCAGGGCAAATACTTGCAACATATATGAGAAACACAGGGTTAATTTTCTTAAATTATAAAAAGCTGGTACAAACCAATAAAGAAAAGCTGGCACGAATCAATAAATTAAAAATTGGGCAAAGAATATGAATGGGCAGCTTATAAGGAAAGTCACACAAATGTGTGATAAGCACACTTACTTGAAATTAAGAATGCATATCCAAATCATAACAGGATGCCATTGTTCACCTAATTGGCAAAAATTATAAAGTGTTCACCTAATTGGCAAAAATAATTAGTGCCTGTGAAGATATGTGGAGAAAGGAACTCATAAATATTGTTATGGGGACTGTTAACTGGTGGTCATGTTGCTAATATTAATAGACTCATCTGAGAGCAATTTAACAATAGCAATTGTAATTTTCAATGTATGTTCCCTTTGATCCAGGAATTCCACTGCTTGAATTTAGATTACTACTACCTTGACAAAATTATACCAAAACACATCCCAGCACTTTGGGAGATGGAGGCGGGAAGATCACCAGGTCAGGAGATCGAGACCATCCCGGCTAACACGGTGAAACCCCGTCTCTACTAAAAATACAAAAAATTAGCCGGGAAACACTTGCTACTGTTTTAGACCACTACGTTTGGGGGTGATTTGTTATGTAGCAATAAATAATAGAAATAACCATGATCCCAAATTTTTGTGCACATTCGTGTGTGTGTGTGTGTGCGTGTGTGTGGTGTTGTGTACACAATTGGCCCTTGAACAACATGGGCTTGAACTGTGCAGGTCCACTATGCACAGATTTTCTTCTACCTCTGCTACCCCTGAGACAGCAAGACCAATCCCTCCTCTTCCTCCCCACTGCTCAGCCTACTCAACATGAACACAATGAGGATGAGGACCTTTAGGATGATGCACTACCACTTGACACATGGTAAGTAGATTTTCTCTTCTTTATGATTTTCTTAATAACATTTTCTTTTCTCTGGCTTACTTTTTTCTAAGAATACAGAATCTAAGACATATAACATATAAAATAGGTGTTGCTTGACTGTGTTATTGGCAAGGCTTCTGATCAACAATAGGCTTTTGGTAGTTATGTTTTAGGGGAGTCAAGAGTTATATGCAGATTTTCAACTGTGTTGGGGGATCGGTGCCCCTAACCCTCATGTTGCTCTAGAGTCAGCTGTACATGTATATGCGTACACACACACACACACATACACACACACAATATTTTTATATATGCAAATGTACATCCACATTTGCTGTGTTTTGCATAATTTTGAGGCAATAGAGAACAGAAGGAACTGCTGAGAATGGTTATTTTTGAGTGGTGGACTGGAAGGCAGGGAAGCTGTGATAGTTAATTTTAGGTCTTAACTGGATTAAGGAATACCTAGAGAGCTGGTAAAGCCTCAAATCTGGGTGTGTCTGTGAGGGTGTTTCCAGAGGAGACTGGCATGTGAGTCAGTGGACCGAGTGGGAAAGATCTGCCCTCAATGTAGGCGGGCACCATCCAATCAGCTGGGGGCCCACATAGAACAACAAGGCAGAGGAAAGGAGAAATCTTTCTTTCTTTCTCCTGGACCTGGGACACCCTGTTTCTGTTGCCCTTGGATATCAGAACTCCAGGCTTTTCAGCCTTTAGACTCCAGGACACCCTGGGTTCTCAGGCCTTTGGCCTCAGACTCAGAGTTGCACCATTGGCTTCTCTGGTTCTGAGGCTTTTGGACTGAGCCATACTGCAGGCATGCAGTTTGTGGGCGGCTTGTCATGGGACTTCTCTGCCTCCATAATCATATGAGCCAATTCCCCTAATAATCCTCTCTTTATCTATCTATCTATCTATCTATCTATCATCTATCTATCTATCTATCTATCATCTATCCATCCATCCATCTATCCATCCATCTATCTCCTATTGGTCTTGTCTCTCTGGAGAACTCTGACTAATACTAAGATCATCTTTGTTAGAAATGGAATGTTAATGCTCTGTCGTTGCCTGTATGATCTATAATTTTTTTCTTGTGTATCTTTTAAAATCTTTACCTGGCTTGGGAGGAAACCATCCTTTTTTCTGCTCATATTAGCTTTTCTAGAGTCTGGAAGCACGTAGTTTCTGCACAGTACCAACCTGGACTGAACAACAGTAATATGCTTAACATTATCCAAAACTGATTCTTGTTATCAATTGTGCAGTCCTTGGAGTCATATTTGAAGGTCCACATCCTGGCTCCATCATTTCCATCCTCTCTAAACCTCAGTTTCCTCTTCTGTAAAATGCAAATAATACCTGTACCTACCTATATTTGTTATCTATTGCTGTATGATAAATTATCCCAAAACTTAGCAGCTTGAACCAGTAAACATGTATTAGCCACAACTTCTGTGGGTTATGAAGCCAAGCACGACTCAGCCAGGAGCTTGTGGCTCAAAGTATCTCATGAGGTTGCAGTCCAACTACTGTCTGAGGCTACAGTCCCATCTGAAGGTGTGACTGGGGCAGGATCTTCTTCCAAGTCCATGCACGTGGTTGCCAACAGGATTGCATCCAATGGAGTCGGTTGGACTGAGGGTTCCACTTTCTCCCTGGCTGTTGGCTGGGGGTCTCCCTCAGTGCTTTGTCATATAGACCTCTCTACAGGGTGGCTCATGGCATGGCAGCTGGAGCACCAAAGACAGAAGCCACAGACTTTTTACAATCTGATCTTGAAGGGGACATCCTATTATTTTGACATACTCTACTCATTCAAGACAAGTATATGAATCCAGTCCACACTCAAGGAGAAGAGATTATACAAGGAAGTGAATGCTAGGAGGTGAGGATCAACAGGGGTCATCGCAGAGACAGCCTACCACAAGACCTCATAGAGTGGCTGTGAGCATTAAATGAATTAATGTCAGTGTTTAAAACATAGTATTGCTCAACAAATAGAAGGTCTTATTAATATTATAGATATCCGTCCATGTTTAACATTAAATACCAAATGTTCTCTTTTTTTTTTGAGACAGAGTCTTGCTCTGTCACCCAGGCTAGAGTGCAGTGGTGTGATCTCTGCTCACCACAACCTCCACCTCCTGGGCTCAAGTGATTCTCCTGTCTCAGCCTCCCGAGTAGCTGGGACTATAGGCGCACACCACCACGCCTGGCTAATTTTTGTATTTTTAGTAGAGACAGGGTTTTGCCATGTTGGCCAGGCTGGTCTTGAACTCCTGACCTCAAGAGATCCACCTGGCTCGGCCTCCCAAGGTGTTGGGATTACAGGCATGAGTCACCTTAAGTGCTCTTTTTCTGCAACTAATTTGTGTGAGATTTCAGAGAGGCCCTTTGGCCAGAAATGTACTAATTTATCCACCTAGGTGTTTTCTCAGATTCCCCAGGGCAACACTGACTTAGGAGCGGCTCCTGCCAAGCAGTGATGTGGGCTGGGCCTGTCATGGCTTTGGGCCCTCTCAGTACAGCTCATCAAGCAGTCATCAAGTCTGTATTAGTGCCTGTAACAAGAAGGAACCCAGGTAGTAACTGAGGACCCAGCAGTGAACCAGGCATGTGTAATTTCTGCCTTTACAGGGCATGCAAGTTACTGGAGGGGGTTCAGACAGAGAAAAGACAACTTCAGCTATTCCTGGGTGCTCTTAAATACTGATACCCAGAAAGGCATAAACCTAAATGATTACTCTTCTCTTACTACCTCAATATTTGAGGGTAAATGAGGAGGTTTATTATTGTTAATTATTTAATTTCAGAAATATATAATTTATTTAATTAAAATCTATTTAATACCTAAAATGTTACATTTATGAAATTTACTAACACCAAGTATGCCCTCACTCTGGTGGAGGCAGGAAACTAAACTGCTTGCCACCGTCATGACATCAGGTTCACAATGTGGTGCTACTCTGGTTTCCTAGGAGACTTAGCCCTGGCACAGGCACACAGCTGGACACATGCAAATAATCGCTATCCTCGCCAGGTGTTCAGCTGCTCTTCCTACAAGCATCTCTACAGTCTCAAAAAGTATATATTCATGCATTCAACAACTATTTTATGAACAATAAGCAAATGCTATATTGGGGTGCTCTTTGGATCCCACCTATTTCCAAATTTCCAAGACTGCATTCTCCCCATTCATTGTCCTCCAACACAGCTTTCGAGACCATGAATTGGGGTCTTCCGCTCATAGGCATGCCCAGCACAGCATAAGGTAGAGAGCAGAACAGGAGTCATCAGAGTGGACTCTGAATCAATCACAGAGACAACAGCAATAAGCCACAAATACTCAACAAGCAGGGAAAAGGGGCAAGGGAGTACAGTTATAAAGCGCAAAAGTTCTCCAAACATTTTAAACATTTTCTTCTCACTCTTACGATTCCCACTTTCTGTGTAGGAAAACAAAGAAAAAGAAATGACTTGTATGAGGCACATCCTCCAGAATGAGTTGACCCAGAGTCTTTATGGAATGAGAAGGGAGAGAATTCATAATTAAATAAACAGCAAACAAACCTCAGGACAAAGTTACCCCTTATCTTACCTAAACTCTACAGTATTGTAATTTACTCAGTCAATCAATAAGTATTTTTTAGCATCTACTCTATACCAGGTACTATTCTAAGCTCAAGTTTTATCATGGTGCTCCAGTTTTCTCCTTGTAGTATTTACATTCAATAAACACTTATTTCTAAACCTACTGGCGTGCAGAGCTATAATCTGTAACCTATCGTACACTTCTGAAAAATATTAACAGAACCTTAGTTGGCAAGATCAAGAACTCATTAAAAATGGGGTTTAGAGAATAAAAATTTAAAATGATACTATGTTTGAGTAATTACACATATATATGTAAAAATATATACACAAACCAAATATTCAGGAAGATACCAATTCTGAAACAAGCTCTGTCTATATTAAAGAACTCCTCCGCTGGAAATGTTTTCTCCGTAATCTCCTTCAGATATTTAGTATATATCTGTGATATCATGATTTTCTAGGGCATATTCTCCAACAAATGTCATGTTACATAAGCTATGTGTTCTTTCATGTTTAGAAACTAGCCCTTACTGTGAAGTATAACATCTTCTTGCACTCACATCCTCCCTTGTTTTATTTGTGCAAATCTCAGCAAAATCTTGTGTAACTGTATTAGTCAGCTTCACTGCATAACAAACAATCCCCCAAAATCTCAGTTGTTACGTCATCAATGTATTTCTTGCTCATGATACACGTAGGCTATGAGTCTGCTATGGCTCTGTCCCATGTGTTTTCTCATCCCAGGATGCAGCTGAAGGAGCAGCTCCTATCTGGAAAATGCTTTTCTCTTGGAACAGGGCAGAAGAGCAAGAGACCAAGTGGAACCACATGATCACATTTAAAGCTTCTGCTCCTAAGTGGCATATACCTTGTCTACTCATACGTCATTGGCCAATGAAAATCACATGAGCAAGCCTGATAGGGACAGGGAAGTACACTTACTTATAAGGGGTCTAAGGCAGGGATATATAACCCTTTTAAAGGAGAAAGGACAAATAATTGCAAACAATGCCGTAATCTACTACAGTAACCACTTGGCAACTTCCCAAAATATTGAGGAACTTAAGGGCACATTTTTTTTTCTGGATCTACATTTCTATCCATTCATTGAAGGGTAGAACACAGGCAGTTCCTCAATCCTGGCATGCATAACCTACAGGAAAGGAAAGTCATCACTGTGAAGGATATTGAACTGAGCCCAACATCTGCTAAAAGATCACAGATTTTGAAATTTTAAAAAACAAATGCTGAACCTCATTATTACAACACTAGGGTTAACAAAGGATTGCCATAGTTTACTCAGCATTATCCTGGCAACTTCATTTCACTAGTGTCCAATTTTGTTTTTAGTTTCCTGGGATTCAAAACCAAAAGAAGGGAAAGGAGTGGCAAACATTCATGGTAACACTCGTATAATGCTCTAAAATTTATTTAAATAGCACTTCCACATTCACAGTAATTGCAGAAGTGATGAACACAGTTAAGAAGGACATGCTCTCCTTGGGGAATTAGAAGTAGGAGAGGCAGGATAATATTTGCTTTTATATGAGAAGTAAAATTATATTGTAGGGACCTAAATCATTGCAGGTATCTGTTTATGACATTTGTTGGAAAAAACTGGGACAGGATACTGTTTTCCTTCCTTTAATAATTTTAAATCACCTCCTACATGACAGGCGCTGTGAGATGAATATCTCATACTTACATATACACGCGCCTATTATTTCCACATCTCTGATTTTTCCCTGTACCCAGGGATTTACTTCTAGTCATAAAAGATGGCTTACCTTAGATTTCCTGCCATAAAGCTCCTTCCCTTTATACTAAGTCTTACTTTCTACAGTTGGCTTAAGAGACACATTTTATAATGAGAAAGCTAAAATGGAGTCTTTTTAAAGACATGCCCAAGACACACATAATAGCAAGATGACTACTTCATTCCTTAATTTGTGGTCCATTGAGATGACTGATTGACATATAGATAGTCAGACAGATCAGTAGATACATAAATAGCTACATGGATGAAAGACAGATGATAAAGAGAGAGAGAGATGAAACACAGACGATAGAGAGAGATGAACAGTTTCTCACCCTTGGTGTACGAAGTGAGGAAGTCAAGGTAAAACAATGGCAAGCACTATGCCTCGGTCATAGTACCCACTTCAAATTGGAGAGCATGGTCAAGTCAACCTTCTAGAAAGAAACAAGAGCCGTGTCAACTTTGTCATTCAAATAAATGTCCACTATGAATACTGTGCCTTCTTAAAGAACTTGGAGCTCAACATTTTGACATTTCATATAGTAGCTAGCACATTATGACCATGTAGTAGATGTTATAGTGAATTGTGTCCCCCAAAATTCATATGTTGAACCCCTAACCCCACTAACCTCAGAATGGGACTCTATTTGGAGACGGGGTCTTAAAGAGGTAATTAAGTTCAAATGAGGTCATTGCTGTGAGCCCTAATCCTATACGACTGGTGTTTTTTAAGGAGAGGAAATTAGGATACAGATGCACTCAGGGTGAAATCCGTGTAAGGTGAACTGGTGAAGGTGGCTATCTATAAGGCAAAGAGAAAGGCCTCAAGAGAAACCAAGCCTGATGGCACCTTGATCTCAGACATCTAGCCGCCAGAATTGTGAGAAAATAAGTTTCTATTGTTTAAGCCACTGAGTCTAGGGTACTCTGTTATAGTAGCCCTAGCAAACTAATATAGTAAATATTTAAAAAATCAGCTTCTCTTCAATTTATTTGGAAAAAAAGAGACAGTATTACCAATACTTACATTTATGTAGTAAGGCAGCATGGAAAATGGGTATATACTTGCTTTTGTCTGGGCCTGGGTTCAACTCACTGGCTCTACCACTCTCTAGCAATGCATGTAACCTTGGACAAATTACTGAATCTCTTTGTGCCTCAGTTTGCAGATCTGTAAAATGGGGTAATAATAGTACTTATCTCACAAAGTTGTTAGGAGGAATAAATGAATTAATAATATTTGAAAGCACTTAGAATAGTGCTTAACACATTGTGACCAATGCATAAATATGAAATACAACAGTTGGAAAGTATTGTGAAATCCAGTCTATAAAATCCTTTTAAATTCTAACAATTAAAAAAACATGTAAGTGTATTCTTATTACAGTGAGAAAATATGTCACAGCATTCAGAGTTTCTAGTCTGTTTAGTAGAAGGGTTATTGGGTTGAGTTTGCATTTTGGGGAAGAGGGAATGTGCTCTAACGACGAAGATGGTCATGACCCATGCACCCTGATGTCAGTGATTGTGAACCATTTCCGGAGAGGATTTTAACATTTGCCAAAGCTTTCACGCTTACTGGCTTTCCCCGCAACATTCATTGCCATGAGAACCATGGAGAGGGTACAGAATGTGTGCTGAAAAATGTTCACAGGTGCTATTTGCACATGACTTGCTGTAGGACGGGGGTAAACACAACTTGGTTTCTACTGGTCAAACTTTAACTCAAGATAAACTTGCTGACTGTGAAGTGTACCGCGTGATTGTTCAGTGTGTGACAGCAAACATAAACAGTCGGGGGAGCGGGGGCGTCCCAGGGTCCAGGGACCAGTGTGTGTGTCTTTCAGGAAGGCCAGCCTGGCTGCAATCTGCTCTGGTCGGGCGGCACCCCGCAGCTTGCCTCTGCTTGTGGGTTGTCAATGGGGAACATCACATGGTTGACTGTGAATGTGTTTGGGGACTTAGAGCTCCCAGCCCACTGATTTTTAATACTCATTATGGTTTCTGCTTGGAAATCCTGAAGGACTGGCAACTGCCTAGATAGCAGTTTTGACCAATAGAATCTTAAACAGAAATGACCAGTCATGGAAAATGAGTTTTTTAAAAATTAACTTAAAAAAATTTTAGACTCAGGGTATACTTGTGCAGGTGTGTTAGAAGGGTATATTGCATAATGCTGGGGTTTGGGCTGCTATTGAATCCATCACCCCAATAGTGAACATAGTACCCAATAGGTAGTTTTTCAGCCCTTACCCCACTCCCTTTGTCTCCCCTTCTGGAATCCCCAGTGTCTACTGTTTCTGTCTTTATGTCCACGTATGCCTATTGTCTAGCTCTCATTTATAAGTGAGAACATGACATTTGGTTTTCTGTTTCTATGTTAATTCACTTAGGATAATGGCATCCAGCTGCATCCATATTGTTGCAAAGGACATGATTTTATTCTTTTTTAGGGCTGCATAATATTCCATGGTACCACATTTTCTTTATCCAGCCCACCAGGAATGGGCACTTAGGTTGATTCCATCCTCTTTGCTATTGTGACTAGTGCAACTATAAACATCTGAGTGCAGGTGTCTTTTTGACATAACGATTTCTGTTCCTTTGGGTAGTTACCCAGTAGTGGGGTTGCTGGGTCAAATGGTAGTTCTATTTTTAGTTATTTGAGAAATCTCCATACTGTTTTCCATAGGGGATGAACTAATTTACATTCCCAATAACAGTGTATAAGCATTCCTTTTTCTCCACATCCTTGCCAGCAGCTGTAATTTATTGATTTTTTTTTTTTTTGAGACGTAGTCTTGCTCTGTCTCCCAGGCTGCAGTGCAGTGGTGTGATCTCAGCTCACTGCAACCTCCACCTCCCAGGTTCAAGTGATTCTTCTGCCTCGGCCTCCCGAGTGGTTGGGACTACAGGCACACGCCACCAGGCCTGGCTAATTTTTGTATTTTTAGTAGAGACGGGGTTTCACCATATTGGTCAGGCTGGTCTTGAACTCCTGATCTCGTGATCCGCCCACCTCGGCCTCCCAAAGTGCTGGGATTACAGGCTTGAGGCACCACCCCCAGCCTATTGACTTTTTAATAGCCATTCTCACTGGTGTGAGATGGTATCTCATTGTGGTTTTAATTTGCATTTCTCTGATGATTAGTGATATTGAGTATTTTCTCATATGTTTGTTGGCCACTTGCATGTATTCTTTTGAGATGTGTCTATTCATGTCCTTTGCCCACTTGGAAAATGAGTTTTATAAACCAATTGGGAAAAGAGGAAAGTGTCATCAATAGGGAGATAGCACCTGAGATAGATTTTGGAGGATATGACTTCTCTGAGATCAAACTTGCCTTTGATACACTGGGAACATTTTTATGAGCATAAAAATTCTAAAAGAGACTTGAAATATTTTTCTCTCATGTCATTTCAATCCATGGAGCTATTAAAATTTTCAAAACTTCAGGGCAAGAAAGATATATATCATCCGAATGTAAGCATTTGAGTAAGCAATCTCTGCCAGGGGTGGGGCGGGTAGGTTGACAATACTTAATATATATTTTTATTTACATAGAACTGAGCCATTGCTAGCCTCACATATCTAGAAAATAGCTTAGAAACAATGAATTTTTTAAAAAATAAAACAACACTTGAGAGACGCTTTTCTTATGCTTTTCTCAGAGAAGAACCAGCCCTCAGTTCCTGACTTGAAAAGCATTTATGTTTATTGCACACATATCCTTAACCAGTGTGAGTTTCTCTATGCCCACAGCAATTTAGAAATAGAAAATCAGCATTAGGGAGAAGGCTTTGCATAGTCTTGCACACTAACAAGAGGTAACTGCTGATGGCCCAAAGAAGAGAGCAACAGAAAAAAAATGTAAAAAACAGACAGGCACAAGAATTCCAAAAGGCACAGTAATTTGGGACCTCTCAGGTGTGCAGGCAAATATTTCTCTCCCTCTCTCTTTCTCTCTCTCTCTCTCTCTCTCTGTGTGTGTGTGTGTGTGTGTGTGTCTTTCTCTCTCACTTCTCTCTCTCTCTCCCCCCAACCATGGCCTAAACCTATTATTTTTTATCCGATAGCAGTGAAATCAGTTCTTTTTGTGATAATGTTACAACCAAGAAAAGAAAAAAATAAGAAGTTAAATAAAGTTCCTCCACTCTTTAAGAAAGCAGGGGCGGTTGAGTTACATTTTAGAAAGTGTTCTGCCAAAATCTTCTCTTTTGTTCCTTCTTTATTCCCTTCCTCCCTCCATTCCTTTTTTCTTTTTCTTTCTTTCTTTCTTTCTTTCTTTCTTTCTTTCTTTCTTTCTTTCTTTCTCTTTTCTTTCTTTCTTTTCCTCCCTCCCTCCCTTCCTTCCTTCCTTCCTCCCTCACTCTCCCTCTCTTTCTTTCTCTTTCTTTCTTTCCTTCCCTTCCTTCCTTCCTTTCTCCCTCCCTCCCTCCTTCTCTCTCCCCCTTTCTTTTTTCTCTTTCTTTCTTTTTCTTTCTTTCTCTCTTTCTTTTTCTTCTTTCTTTCTTTCTTTCTTTCTTTTTTCTTTCTTTCTTTCTTTCTTTCTTTTTCTTTCTCTCTCTCTCCCTCCCTCCCTCTCCTTCCTTCTTCCCTCCCTCTCTGCCCACCTCCCTTCTTTCCTTCCTTCCTTTCTTTCTTTTGGTGCTTTGAAGGACCAGCTCTTACTTGCCTAGAACTCAGCAATCCAGAATGGCTACAAAGCAAGCTGAGATTTTATGGTGTTTGTGCCATCATTTGCCAGTATATAGATGTGGGATTACACACTGTGTGATCAATGTTAGTTCCTATCCTTTAAGAATCGTCTCATGATTTTTAAGTTCCTGAACAGCCGAACGATTGTTGAAGATACTGTTACTTGAAAGGAAAAGAAATAAGGAGAAAAAAAATGAATGGAGGGAATTGTTAGATGATATGTTAGAACAAACATGACATCATCAACATAGTGGGAGGGTAAAAGGGAGTTCCCTTAAGGCACAAACAAAATTTCACCGTCCCATTTATTTTTACTTTTAGTTTAGTTCACAGACTTCAGAACCTGCTCATTATCACCAAATGCTCTTTCAAATGATGAAGTACTGAAAGAAAAACCTAAGTCACCTCCACATATGATATATAAGAAATGTTGGCACATCCAGATCTTCCTAAGGAAAGAGGGTTTGACTACAGCAATGTTGAATGCAAGCCTTATCAATTGCATCCTTCCTTCCTTCTTCCCACTCATAATACACACATATGCCCCTTGTATGTTAGGAACATTGTACTGGAGGGAATGTATAAAAACTCTAAGTTAATTCTTTTCTGAGGGCTTGCTATCAGCCAGGTACAGGGTTAAAGTACAAATACTTGATTATCACTTGACCACACCCTTGTGAGGAAACTGATGCTCAAGAAATTTAAGTAAAGTTTCTGAAAGACACACAGCTTGCAAACAACAGAGATGGGATTTAAAACAAGGTTGTTTATTAACCACTGGGCTCCACTACCTGCCAATGGGGTGTAAATAGTGATCCCTGGAAATAAATGACCCCCATTTTCTTAAAGGGCAGGGATAGGTTGAGAAAAATAGCCACTTTGATGGTATAGACCTGGAATGTGTGGAGGACCTTTGCACTACGCAGAATGGAATTGCTGGGCCCACTGATGTCGCTTAATAATTGACAGATGGCCTGTCTAAGTGACTCACATGCAACTCAGATTTCAGGGCTGGAAAGGCCATGGGCTAATGTGGAAAGGAGGTGCATCCCTGGGCAGGTTCTGTGGCCAACCACCCTGTTTAGACAGCTCTCCGTTCACAGAGAGCTTTCTGCTACAGTGAGCAAAATGTTTACAACCTGATGCCAACTTTTATCATACATCGAGAGGCTGCCTGTAACCAAATCACCCCTGCCCTGGGCAATGTGCTCTGTGTACAGATCTCCATCAGTCACACAACAGGTGCTTAATTCTTGGTGACAAAAGGTGACCTCAATTTCTTTAAAGATATAGCAAGCCCTAAGGATCCAATTATATGGAGATTGGGCCAAGTGATCCTAGAGGCCTTGCCTTCCACTATTTTGAGGTATTTACAAAATGCAGATAAAGGAATTGGAAAATAGAAATATGTAAACTGGGAGAAGAGAGAGAGAGGGAGAAATTGACTTCTGAAATTATTAGCCTGTCAACCTAACATTGGAGAAATATAGCAACCATTGATGAAAATATCAAGTTGTCAGCACTTAAACAGAGTGCTAAGAAAGCACTAAGCTGTACAACCATGTAACACACCAAGCCTCTTGGACTAACACAATTTCCTTATGAGACAAAATGGAATATGATGAAGCTGCAAATGCTTTGCCTCCACACTTCAGTGAGACCAGGCTAAGCAGGTGGGCCTGAGTCCTAGATACTTGGGCAAAGGTTAGACTCCTTAGGAGTAAGCTTGGGCGAGTTTGCCAAATCTTTGGTAATGGTTCATTCTTTAGCATTACAGGACAGTCACAAGTACCTAGAACATGAGCTTCTTGCCTTCACCTTGCAGACCTGACATTGTTGCTTTTTTGTGGTCTCCTGACTCTTAGGCGTAAAGTCAGAGGCCAACACTTATTGAGTAAGTGCTCAATAACACTGGTTGATGGCAATAATAGGTGCTCTGTAAGTACCTGCTCTTTGAGTCATTAATGCTTGAAAACACAGTATTTAATCATAATACTCCACCTCACTACACTAAAGCCAAAACACGGTGTCCACATTTCTGATTTAGGGAGAACATTTGTCATTTTTTAAAAAAGTATATAAATACCATAACCTTCAAAATTATTGAGATTTTTGACATTAAAAGCAATACAGAGTCATTGTAGAAAAATCTTAGAACACTAAAATATAGGCCAGGCGCAGTGGCTCACGCCTGTAATCCCAACAGTTTGGGAGGCCAAGCAGGGTGGATCATGAGGTCAAGAGATCAAGACCATCCTGGCCAACATGATGAAACCCCATCTCCACTAAAAATACAAAAATTATCTGGGCACGGTGGTGCGCACCTGTAGTCCCAGCTACTCGGGAGGTTGAGGCAGGAGAATCGCTTGAACCTGGGAGGCAGAGGTTGCAGTGAGCTGAGATCATGCCACTGCACTCCAGCCTGGGCAACAGAGTGAGAATCCATCTCAAAAAAATAAAAAAAAATACTAAAAAATACAAAGAACCAGAAACAATCACCTGTAATCTCATAATCCTGCCACTTAGAGATAATGAGTTAACATTTTAGTGTATTTCTTTCCAATTTTTTCACATATATTATATATACACACACATTCATACATATTTAAAATTATAATTGTATGGAATATATGGCTGTATATCTGTCTTTTTCATGGAATGTTATAGATTGGGCATTTTCATTGATCAACAGCCATCTCTGAAAATATGATTTTTACATATCTACACTGCATTCCATCATCTGAATGGACTACGATTAATTTAAGTGTTTCCTCATTTTTGTATATTGGGGTTTTTTTCCCAAATTTTCCTATAGTCTAAGGAATGCTTCAGTGAACATGCTTATCCATAAATCATTCTACACATTTCTGATGATTTTGTTAAGATAAATATCCACAAGCAGAATTACTAGGACAAGGGAATATAAACACTTTTATGGCTCTTGTTATACATTTCTCAAAATATTTTTTAAATTATTCTTTTCTGCATCTCTTTTATTTTATTTTAGATTCGGGGGTACATATGCATGTTTTCAGGGGGTACACGTACATAGGCATGGGTATATTGCATAACAGTGGGATTGGGCTTCTAGTGTACTTGTTACCCAGATAGTGAACATAGGCCAGGTGCGGTGGCTCTCATGTGTAATCCCAGCACTTTGGGAGGCCGAGGTGGGCGGATCACTTGAGGTCAGGAGTTTGAGATCAGCCTGCCCAACATGGCGAAACCCTGTCTCTACTAAAAATACAAAAATTAGCCAGGCGTGGTGGCGCATGCCTGTAGTCCCAGCTACTGAGGAGGCTGAGGCAGGAGAATCACTTGAACCTGGTGGGCAGAGGTTGCAGTGAGCCGGGATCGCGCCATTGCACTCCAGGCTGGGCGACAAAGCGAGACTCCGTCTCAAAAAAGAAAAAAAAAAAAAAGATAGTGAACATAGTGCCTAACAGGTAATTTTTGAACCCTTGCCCCTCTCCCATTCTCCCCTACTTTGGAATCCACAGTGTCTATGATTTCCATCTTCATGCCCAAGTGTACCCATTGTTTAGCTCCCACTTATAAGTGAGAACACATGATATTTGAGATCAAAAGGAAGTTGTGGAGAGAAATGACAGGTTTGGTTCTGTGTTTTTAGCCCTATTGCCTCCTTTCGTCCAGCCCATGCCAGTATACCCATTTGTCATCTTTAGGCTTGTTCGTCCTGTTGATCGTGCCCTGCATCTCAAGAGAACTCACCCTAGAGAGGTCTCTGTTATCCATGGTCTGTGTTGCTTCGTTCACACGTGGGGCCTGTGATCCGGGGGTCCCATGCATCCTGATGCACCCTTTGTGGAAACAGGAATTGCTCTGCAGAGAGTTGGTTTCAAGGCTAGAACAAACCCTACAATCATTGGCCTATTGTCTAAAAAAGTAAGTAAAAATACACAAGAAAGATTGATTCCATTGAATTAAAAATCCTAAATTACTTTCTGACCCTTTGGAGGTATTTCTGCACAGCTCTTCCCAGCATTCTAGCAGATTTCAGAAACTCAAGGGACATTTTTAGCCACAGAAAAAGTTGTTGAATCCAAAAAACTCAATGAGGATCATTTTCAAATATAATGTTCTGTTATATGCAACGATAACCTGAAGTTAGGATTATTTCAATTGTTTCTTTTATGTAGTAAAATACTAAGTTTGCTGTTTACTTTAAAAGGTAGGTGGGATTTCTAATTGCATTTAATCTGACGATTAAAATAATCAGATTTTGCCCTTTTTTTCTGAAAATTTACTTTGCAATGAGCACAGACTACATTCATGTTAATCATAAATGCTCTCCTCCCCTTTCCAGGTAAGCTGAATTTTAATTATTATAATAGGTGGATTTTCTTAAGCGTTTCTCCTTATCCTTCCTTATGGCCTACTTTCCCATCTTACTTTACTTTTTCCCCCTTCATCTTCTATGTTATACAAAACATATTCTGAAAAATTTATGCAAAATAAATTAATATTATATGTAAACAGCGTCATCAAATATATTCCCACATTTCAGGAATTTGGATGGAAGTTCCTGCTGATAGATTCATAGAGTCAAAGGAAAAAAAAAAGATTTAGTTGGGAGCTTGGGATATTAAACATAATTCCCTCATTTGAGTAAGGAAACCGGAGCCCAGAGAGGTGAGCCTTTGGGTTTGTCATTTGATCAAGTGTACAGAGCAGGAGCAATAATAAACATAATAACTGACTTCTTTACAGCCCTTTACACTTTATAAAACACATTCACATTCAACATTTACAGGTATCGCAATTCTGGCCTTTCAGTAAATGAAACGCCCCTGTGCTCTATTTACCTCCAGGAGACCAATGTGGCTGATTTTATATTTGGTATTATTTCATTTATTGGCTGCTGCTGATGGCAGCACCCTTCACCTGGAGACTCGGAGGCATTTCAGATGGATTCATGTATGAAACAGCAGGCTAACTAACACTGTGAGTGGGCCGATGTTAAGCGGAGAGTAACATATCCTGCCCTGCCAGTGAAAAAACCACAGCCACGTCTGAGGGGCAGAATCCCAGTGTCAGTGGGATTTGAAGATTTGTAAAAAGCTGTTACTGGCCACGTCTGCCATTTGGGAATCCAAGGACCAGATTAAATCTCAAAGAAACCCAAAGTTGTGCTCTTCAATGGCCAAGGGTGGGTTTCTCCAATGAAAGCATCAAATCAGATGTCTTTGTCAGTTACGTCTTCATGGAAGGTGGTGGTAAGGACTTACATGACATCATAAAATAAGGTTAATCATGGCTGGGTGCGGTGGCTCACACCTGTAAGCCCAGCAATTTGGGAAGCCGAGGTGGGTGGATCACGAGGTCAGGAGTTCGAGACCAGCCTGACCAACATGGTGAAACTCCGTCTCCACTAAAAATACAAAAATTAGCTGGACGTGGTGGTGCATGCCTATAATCCTAGCTACTCAGGGGGCCGAGGCAGGAGAATCGCTTGAACCTGGGAGGCAGAGGTTGCAATGAGCTGAGATCGTGCCACTACACTCCAGCCTGGGTGACAAAGCAAGACTCCATTTCAAAAATAAAATAAAATAACATAACGTTATTGACTTATCTGAGATCGTTTTCCTATGAATTTATTGACATTTTCAACATTTAATTGAGCATTTCTGATTTTCAGGCACGGAGGGATGTGGAGGAGAACAAGGCATGACGCTGTCCTGAAAGTGCTCCTAGTCTGGTAGGCACGTCTGTCCTGCCACGTCTCCAGAATCTATCTTGAGTTGTTGCAGTGCTGCACTTCCTTTGTAGATGACGGCACAGTTCATTATGACTCTTCGGAATATCTCAGCCTTTTCATCCATGTAGTGAGTTTTGCATCAGACATTTACTCTTTAGCAGGGTGGATTAGTTTCTTAGAACTGTCATAACAAATTACCACAAACTGAGTGGCTTAAAGCAACACAAATTTATTCTCATAATTCTGGAGTCTAGAAGTCCAAAAGCAAGGTGCCGCCAGGGTCAGGCTCTTTCTGATGGCTCTAGGGGAGGGTCAGTCCCATGCCTTTCTCTTAGCTTCTGGTGTGGCTCACGGCCCTTGACATTTCTTGGCTTGTAGATGCATCACTCCAATCTCTGTCTCAATTGTCACACCATGTTCTCCTTATGTCTCTTCCTTGCTTCTCATAAGGACACCAGTCATGTTGGTGGAGGCCCACCCTAATTCAGTATCATCTCATCTTTGCTTGATTACATTTATAAGACCATATTTTCAAATAAGGTCACATTCACAGGTACCGTGGGTTGGGTCATCAACAGAGCTTTCTAGAGGGTACAATTTCACGCATAACAGGGGATTCGATTCATCCAAACCCTTTCTCAGCAGAGACAGTAAAAGTACTTTCCCCTTCAGCTGCCAGATTGCAGTTTCATATGGCTGTGCTCACAATAAAGCAGAAAGGCCAGGGTTCCTTGAGCTCCAGAGTGGGCCACAGATGGTTAAAACAATGTGGAACATGTTTTCAGGGGAGAGAGGACAGAGCAGCCTAAAGTGGTCCTTCCAATAAGTGACATTGCATGTGTCCCTCTCGCTTTCATCTTTATGTGTGTATCACACATTATCCTTCATCCTAATGTCTTTTTCTCCTGGTTCCAGTGAAGCGGCAAAGAGAGTAAAAGTGCTGAGCTCCTGCTGTAAGTCAGGTGCCATTCATGCCCCCCAATCCATTTGGACCGCTCACTGTCCATTCTCTGTGACAGGGGTTACAGCCACTGTCCTGATAGATCCTGTTTTGCTACTCTTAATTGAGTTTGAATGGCCTACCTGGTAGAGCTTTCATTTAGGCAGCAGAGTGCACATCTTGTTTCCATTTCAATCATTTGCATTGGAAGTGCTTTTTCCCCCTAATGAATACATAGTCATAAAGAATCCAGTTCAGCCTGTCGTGCTGTTGCCACTGGCATCAGCTGGAAGGCTGGCAAGTAATGATCCCACCTGGAAGAGCACAAAGCAGTCAGCCCCTGTGCTCTGTACCGTGTAACTCACCCATACCGTGGCCCTTGTTCATTCCAGCATGGCTCCTACTTCACATGTGGGGCTGTTTCTGTTTCTATTCATTCTGTGTGATGCCTTGCTTGACCCAACATCATGAATGGAAAATTGTGATGGGCCTAATCCCTTCACTCTGCATTCTCCAGGGAAGGTGTTGGTCTCAACAGGAGCTAAAGTTTTCCTGGGAAAGGAGAGCCATGAGAGAGAAGTTTTCCTTTCCCCATAGGTGGTCCCCAGCAGAGAGGCAGGAAGGTTTATGCACAAAACTGTAGGAAGAATGATTGCCTCCTCTGGCCATCAGATTGTGACTTAGCTTCTTGTGGCAAGTGGCACTTCATTGGGTGTTCTAAAGACACATTCATCATAGTCCCTGCTCATTGGTAACATAATATCTAATATGAACTGCAAGGACAAGACAAACATATAAAGAACATTTAGGCAACTAAAGAAGTATATTAAAAAATCTTTAGATTGTGTATAGGCAAAAGGAAACTGCATTTTCTGATGAAAGAATTCAAGTTGTAAGAGCTCCTTTGGGGAGGAATGGCCATCTTTCTTCCAATTACAGAAAATTTTGTAGCAAACTAATTTAAAAAAATCTTTATATCCTAATTCATTTAGTAACCAATTAAGTGTATAGTCAAGATTCTTAGTTTCAAGTGATGAAACTCAAATAAGGGCAATATATTTGTTTATGTACCTGAAAATGCTCAGGCTAAACACAGTGGCTCATGCATGTAATTCAGTTACTTTGGGAGACCAAGGTGGGAAGATCACTTGAGGCCAGGAGTTCAAGACCAGCCTGGGCAACATAACATGACCTCATCTCTACAAAAAAAAAAAAAAAAAAAAAAATCACTGGGCACAGTGGCACATGCCTGTAGTCCCAGCTACTTGGGAGGCTGAGGAAGGAGAATCATTTGAGACTAGGAGTTGAGGCTGCAGTGAGCCATGATTGCACCAATGCACTCCAGCTTAGGCAACAGAACAAGACCCTGTCTCTAAAAAAAAGAAAAAAAAAAGTTCAAGGGTGGTTCCAGATCCTTGAAAAATGTCTTCAGGAATATTCTCCAGGCTTTAGCTTTGCCTTCTTCTCTCTTGATTTCATTCTCAAGCAGGCAATCACTATTTTTTTGACAAGATGTCCACCAGAAGCTCCAGGCTAATTTTCTATTGGTTTAACCACCCCAGAAGAGAATTTATCCTTTCCAATACTTCTAGCATAACCCCTGTGGCTGACAATGTTGGTTCTGATAAGCTCAGCATGTAACATATACTCATTCTTGAATCACCAGCATGGTTAAAATTCTCATTGGCCAGACTTGGACCACATGCCCCACCCCTGGGGTTAGGGGTAAGAGTCAACCCCACCAGAAAACAAAGACTGAGAGTCAGGGAGGGGTGGTTCTTTAAAAGAAAACTAGGGTCTTGGTATCACAGGAGGAAGTGGATGTTGATCAAGCCAAAGTCCCAGATGCCCATGACACTATACAAAAAGAATGTACATTGTTCTGAGATGCTGATTAAGAAATACAAATCAACCTCCGCTTTTGAAAGTAGTTTTAAAAGAGGTCAACTTTCAGTGTCTTTCATGGAATTTCTGATTACTTTGAGCTAGTAATCAAGTCAACAATAAATTCTTTGTTTCTCTTGCAAACCCACATTGTCTAGGAACATTTCCTATTAATATCTATTTTAGAGTATCACATGAGTCTTGAGTCCTTCTTTCAGGAATAAAGGTAACAAACTGACAGAGATAAAAAACAAACAAAAAAAAGTGGTGGGGTAATTTTAAAATTTTTATGTCATAATTTTCTTCAGCAGGAAATTCTATTTGGCTGAGTGATTTTTGAACAGAGAGCAAATAATCATTTAGATATTTTTTTCTCTCTCTTTTTTTGAGACAGAGTCTTGTTCTATTGTCTAGGCTGGAGTGCAGTGGCGTGATCTCGGCTCACTGCAAGTTCCACCTCCCGGGTTCACGCCATTGTGCTGCCTTAACCTCCTGAGTAGCTGGAACTACAGGTGCCTGACACCATGCCTGGCTAATTTTTTGTATTTTTAGTAGAGATGGGTTTTCACCGTGTTAGCCAGGATGGTCTCGATCTCATGACCTTGTGATCTGCCCACCTTGGCCTCCCAAAGTGCTGGGATTACAGGCGTGAGCCACCGCGACTGGCCTAGATTTTTTTAAAAAGATAAAAAGCAATCACTATGTTTAGTACATGTAATGAAAAAAATATGAAAGAAACTCTCTCATGGGCTAGATACTGCCATTTTCTGGGACGGCACTATAATGTCTATCTCCAGTTCTAATTTTCTTTTTCACCTCAAAATTTTAGTATTCACTGTGACTTATATTTGATTTGTTGGATTCTTAATAATGGCTAAATTTAATTCCACTTTTTCTCTCTTTATAATCAGGGCCAGATTTTTAAAAAGAAATCCACACACTATAAATCCAAAAACCAAGTTATATTAAAAGTCAGATTTTCGACTGCATGGAGGGTCAGCGCCCCCAACTCCTGCAGTAGTCACAGGTCAACTATATATGTGTACACATGCACATACATCTAGTGTTTATGTATATTCAAATGTACATACATGTTTGCTGTATTTTTCATAATGTAATGAGTGCTTCCTATGCAGCAGGCACTGCGTTGTACTGGAGACCATCTTTGCCTCACAGAGCTTACATTTTAGTTGGGGAGATAGTGACAAACAAATGAATAAATACATCAACCAGATGATTAAAGACTGTGATCAGAGCCATGTAGGAAGTAAACACGGTGGTGAGACAGACGAAAGCTGGGAGAGCCCATTGTAGGTGGGAGGTCAGAGAACCTCCCTGAAAAGGTAACATCTTCAGTAGGGCCTCATGGAGGTGAATGATCAGTCACTACAGCAGAACAGAAGGCAGGCCAGTGTAATTGTGGTGGGGTCATTGGGGTAGGCAGGAGACAAATCAAGCAGGGCTTCATAAACCATGGTAGAAATATAAATTCAATTCTAAGGTAAACTGGAAGTCAGGAAGGGATTCATAGCCAAGAAGTGGCATAACTTGATTCAAATCTTAAAATGGTCACTTTTGCTCCTATAGAAAGAACGTGTGTCTCTATGAGAAATAAAATAGAGGCTTAAACAAGAGATTCCTCCAATATAAAAGCACTGTGGATGGGGTTAAGAGTCCCAGATGGGCCCAACAGCTCCACATCCATCAGAAACCTAGTCTTCTCTATCACCCTACCCCATTGTCTTAGAAAATGGTTTCCATTCACAGAAGTGCAAGATGGCCAGAGCAATTCCTGACATTTTGTCTGAGTGCTGAACTATAAAAGAAAGGGAACAAAAGACAACAGAAGTTTTCCCATCCCGTCCAAATCAGCTTCCTTGAAGCATCCTGTTTCAAAGTCACACAAAACACTTCTGCTTACATCTCATTGGCCAGAATTTAGTTACATGGTTACACTTAGCAGGGGAGGTGAGGAAACATGGTCTCTCACTTATGATGTCTACATCAGTAAGATACTTACAGCTATCAGAACAAGCAATCAAAATACGCTTAATGGCTCAAACATGATACAGGATTACTTCTCACTCACATGAAGTCCAAAATGATGTTCTGGATTGGCAGGTGGTTTTCCTCCAAGCAAGGATCTAAGGACCCAGGTTTCTTCTATCTTGTGCCTCTTTCACCTTCAACACTTGTCTTCCAAGATCTTGTTACTTAACTGCATTAAGCTGTGGAAAGATAAAGAGTATAGAGAACCATTGTGAGTTTCTGTAGGCCAGGACTACAGAAGTGTGAGTAGAAGGGACACATCACTTCCACTCACTAACGGCCAGAACTCAAACACACAGCTGCATATAACTGCAAGGGAGGCTGAGAAATGGCATCTGGTTGTGCCCAAGAAGAAGACCTGGGCTCATGACATGACCAGCCAGCAGCCTCTACCACTGGGGAAATGAGTCCAGCCAAAAACTAGGGTTCTGTTACAAAGAAAGAACCTTGGGAGATAGGTGGCAGTTTGTGTCACACGAGGCGACAGTGGAAACAGAAGACCAGTTCCACTAAAGAGCTAGCAAGCAAATAAATACTTGCCATCTGCCAGCAATGAGAGGGCACACTCAGAACCAGAAGATGACATAGTTCTACTGCAGATTCTGTTTCGCAATGACGCTCCTGCAAAAATATCTCAAGGATTTGCCTTCAGCCTACAAAACATTCTCAAAATGAAATTGCTATGATTAGTCAATTTAATTTTTATTTATTATTTGATTTTATTAATATTATAGAAAGCTTTTTAACAGTCTAGATGTGCTCCATAATCAGATATTGAGGCTTTACAGGTTTGGCCATACAGAGAGAAATATAGTATTAGTGACATAACATTGCTGCAAACCCAACTGAAGAAATTCCTGGTTGTGAGCTTTTACATATAATGTGTTCATTTTGAAATAATACTTTTATGTTCCAAATTTCTGTTTCCATTGATCATTTATTAATTTGTTTTTTTTATCTTGAGTTTTATTTAATCTACAAAATATACTACTGCAAGAGAGAAGGGTACTGGCTGGGGGAGTACCCAATGCTCACAACCATTCTCACTCAAATAATTAATATCTGGTGAACATTTACTATGATGTTCTAGGACAGCTTAGTGGGTCCAGCATAAGTGTAGATCCTGGAAAGGATAGACCAGCAGGCCTTAAAAATATAAAGGAGAGAATAAACAAACATAATGACACTAGGAGGAGAATGAGTAGATTTCAACATATGTGAATCAATCAGAAAGTAGAGTTAATTTAGTTAAGTGGTCAAGAGCACAATATTTGAATTATGTCGGACCTATATTCAAATTCTCAGTCAGCCACTTTCAAACTATGTAAAACTGGAGAAGTCACTTAACCCCTCTGAGCCTCACTTTCCTCATCTGTAAAAAACGGAGGATAATAACAACCTCATAAAGTGCCCAGTATAGTCAACGCCTGGATCATACTATAGTAAACACATGAAAAATCATGGCGATGATTAATAACCAAGGGGTTAGCATGACTAGTCCAGCCAGGGCTCGATGCCAGCTGCAGCTGAGTGGTAAGAAGATAGATCTTCTGTAAAGATCTTTGCAGAAACTCAAACAAGTCAGACTGGAGAGCATGCGTGACACAGTCAGGAAATCTCATGTCACATGTTTAAGTCCTAAATGTTTGACAATGTCTCTAAGCTTCCCAGGAGTTCAGAGGAAAAAGACTTGTGATAGAAGGGAGACCTGGGCTTCATGGATTGGAAGTTGACCTGAGCTTTGAAAGCTGTATAGGGTTGGAATAGGTAATAGAGGACCATTTAAGGTGTCTGTGCCTGGGACAGAGTAGTTACCCCAAAAATGGAGTAAATGAATGAAAGAAAGAGCAGACACAAAAGACTAAGACAGCAAGTCTAGTTCGTGAGTGAAGGGACTCCTTAATCATCACCTCTGGTGGGTGTTAATGTGTTGGGAGATGCATTGTCCACAGTGGGAGGAACCACGTGAGCAGAGCTTTCTAAACTGGGTGAGGAGTTTGGGTTGAAGTGCGGAGGAATTATGGAGCAGAGGAGGAAAATGATGAAAGCAGTACAAAGATCAATTCGGGGAGGGTCAGGAATGTATCGCACAAGGAAGCTGGAATGCAGAGAAGTCAGTCAGGAGTCTGCATGTGGAACTCGATGAGAAGTAAGGATGCTTGGCTGAGGGACTGGCAGTGAGACTTCAATAGGGATGGCAGTGGGCATGGGACCAGAGGCTCAATCAGGTCCTCAGATAAGGGGATGAAGAAGGAGACAAGCTTGTGGTTGGTTCATTAATGACTACAGAGTTAGCAGGAACTCTAATAGACAGGAAAATTGAAGAGAGAAAACCGAAGAGCAGGGGAAGATGGTGAGCTCAGTGATGTGTTTGTCGGCTGAGCCAGCGATGAGATACACAGGTGGAAATACCCAACAGGTACTTAGAAGTACAAAATTAGAACTCCAACACAAGAATAGAGAAGAGAGGGACTTGGAAGTCATTACGATAGAGACAGTAAACAAAGGCCATGAAATGTATTAGGTCTCTGAGGTGTTAGTATAAATAGAAAAAACTAGAAAATCAAAGACTAAGTCTTGCGCAATATATAAATTTAAAATATGAAAATTTCCAGGAGTACTCAGTATGAATACATGAACTTCAACTGGATTGGTGTCCTTACTAGGGCCTCATTGTGACTCTTGTGGTGCCTGGAAATGCTGAGGGTATTTTTGTCTTTGTGGGCTCCTTTCTTCATTAAAAATAAAATTAAAAAGTATATGAATTTGTTCTTATGTACTTGTGATTATTATATTTTTTCGTTCTGATTTTATTTATTTGTTTTTTGAGATAGGGTCTCACTCTGTCACCCAGGCTGGAGGGCAGTGGAGCTATCTTGACTAACTGTGACCTCCGCTTCCCAGGCTCAAGTGATCCTCCCACCTCAGCCTCCCAAGTAGTTGGGACTACAGGCATGCACCACTACGCAATTTTTTTTTTTTTTTTTTTTTTTTGTAGAGACGCAGTTTTGCCACGTTGCACAAACTGGTCTTGAACTCCTGGACTCAAGCAATCCTCCCACCTTGGCCTCCCAAAGTGCTGGGATTACAGGTGTGTGCCACTGCACCCGGCCCTGATTTTAAAATAAATTAAAATCAAACATTTTCATGAGGCCCTAAAAGTATCTTGGTCCCTACTACATGTAACAAAGAAGACAGTCCTGATCATTACAAGATCGCGTGATAGTGGGAACAATCCAATGTGTAATGTCTTAAAAATTATGTATAGTTGACTTCAGAAAGAGAGTGTGTGTATGTGTGTGCATGTAAGGGGAAGTCTGCTTCTCTTTTTATGCTATAAGCTAATATTTTAATTGTCCTTGATTCTCATAGGTCAAACCTTTATTCGGCTTCAGGGCAAGATCAAACCAACAGTTATCATACTTCACTGTCTTTAAGAAATCAATTTTGGGTGGGGCGTGCTGGCTCATGCCTATAATCCCAGCACTTTGGGAGGCTGAGGCGGGTGGATCACAACGTCAGGAGTTCAAGACCAGCCTGACCAACATGGTGAAACCTCGTCTCTACTAAAAATACAAAAATTAGCCAGGCGTGGTGACACATGCCTGTAATCCCAGCTACTCAGGAGGCTGAGGCAGGAGAATTGCTTGAACTCGGGAGGCGGAGGTTGCAGTGAGCCAAGATTGTACCATTGCACTCCAGCCTGGGTGAAAGAGCGAGACTCCATCTCAAAAAAGAAAAAAAAGAAAAGAAATCAACTTTATTTTTTATTTTTTAAGAGACAGCATGTTGCTCTGTTGCCCAGGCTAGAGTGCAGAGGTGCCATCATAGTTCACCGCAGCCTTGAACTCTTGGGCTCAAGTGATCCTCCTACCTCGGCCTCTTGAGTAGCTGGGACTACACGCATGTGCCACCACACCCATAAAATGCATATTAAAATGTTGGGTTCTGCCACTCAGAGAATATGATTCCCTTGTTAACATGCATCTTACATGCCTCAAGAGGAGTTATTTTTAGGATAATAGTATGTAGTTTTGATGTGTGGTGGGGCTTAATTCCTGTTTCCTGAATAAAATGAAATTTAGACTTTAAAAATATACCTCCCTCCCAAAATTGGAAACTTGGGACAGGTTAATTTAATTACAAAGAATTTCAGGCTGGATGTGTTGGCTCATGCCTATAACCCCAAAACTTTGGAAGGCTGAGGTAGGTGGATCGCTTGAGCCCAGGAGTTCAAGACCAGCCTGGGCAACATGACAAACTCCTGTCTCTACAAAACATACATAAAATCAGCTAGGTGTGTTGGTGCACACCTGTAGTCCCAGCTACTCGGGGAGGCTGAGGCAGGAGGATCACCTGAGCCTGGGAGGTCGAAGCTGCAGGGAGCCATGATTGCACCACTGTACTCCAGCCTGGGCAACAGAGTGGGATCCTGTCTCAAAAAATATACAAAATAAAATAAAATGAATTTCAAGGCTCAAAAAGAGAAAAAGATGAACTATAAGTGAGAAGATGTTGAAGGGTTTGCTTCATCATAGCAGAGATTCCAGGCAGAGCAGCAAGGGCTCAAATATCAAGAAAATGATACAAAGGGACAGAGTTGAGGAACTACTTCAACGACACAGTTCAAATCAGTTCACAAACATTTATTGAGCATCTACGATGTGCCAAGTACTGACACTTCCAGTGTGGAGTAGGGAGTTGGGGATGTGGGGAGGCAGAGAGCAAACACATAAAATAAAAACATAGGGAAAGAAGTTCAGTAGGTACAGGATATTTCTTTAAGAGTCAAAGTGAGAAAAAGATGCCAAGGAGTGATATCCAAAGTGGCAGATGACTCAGAAAGGATCAGAGCGCTAAGAACTTCTTGGAGATGGTCACAGGGAAGTCATTGGCAGCTCTGATGACAGCTACTTCCATGGAGTGGTGGACGAGGAGGACTGCTAAACAGCAGAGATTGTTCCTAAGGATCCTGAAGCCTGGCCATGAGCAGCAGCAGCAGAACTGGCTGGTTTTAGAAGTGCCTGATTTAGCAAAGTCTGGAACTAACGTAACATAAAAGCCAATGTGAATCCAGGGCTTGCCATGGACCATGCACTGTTCCAGGCATTTTGCACATCATTTAATCCCCCCATCAACCTCTGCAGTAAGTACTAACTTTAGACCCATTTTTCACAGATAGGGAAATTGAGACACAGAAGGTTTAAGTCACTTGCCTAGGATCACACAACTGATAAAAGTGGTAGAGCTGGAATAAGACCCCAGGCTCTCTGACTCTAAGCCCTGTGCTTTATCTGCTGGCTGATACTGATACTGAATGGTCTCTGGACATATTTGTAAATCACATACTGACTTGGCAGTCGGTTTTGTTGTTGCCGTTGTTATATCAATTTACAGAGGCACAGAGAAGTGGTGTGTTGACACAGCAGTACAGCAGCAGAAGCAAAGCTGGCCCCCGCCACATAGCCTGAGTGACTTTCCCACAGCTTAAACCTTGGAGTAACTGCAGAGAAGTGGGATTTGAAGCTCTAAGCATTGTGTGAAACAGAGCCAGGAAATGCAAAAGAAGTCCACTGAGGTCCCCAGAAAGGGGAAGTGGGGACACCATTCAAAAGAACAAAAATCTGGCCAGTCCCTGGCCCAAATCGTTCTTAACAGCCCTGGAGCCCCCTAAAGAGAAAAGTTTTTGTTAAGAAGAGGTGACTTTGTTTTCTCTCCCTGAACATTTAGAAAATGCCCAGGTTTCAAAGCCTTTCCTCATTAGGCCCAGGTAGTTTTAGATTCACAGTGCTGGCTTTTGCTCATGGGTGCAAAGTGCATTCCAAACAAAACACATACTGCCTGACATTATTAAAATTAAATATGTGTGTGTGTGTGTGTGTGTGTGTGTGTGTGTGTGCATATATATATATGAGAGAGAGAGAGAGAGAGAGAGAGACACCATCTTGGTTTTTACTTGAGTACCTAAGACGAAAAACACAATCCAGGAATAGAGGACTGTCATTTGCTTTTTTTAAAAAATCAAAAGTTAATGACATTACTTTATCAGTACGGAGTGTGTGCAATTGACCTGTAGGCCCTTCTCTGTCTGGTAATGAAAATACATGCCTTGGAAATGTGTGTGCACGGACAAAGAGAAAACGGGGGGTGGGGATAATTGTCATAATGATCGGGTAATAAAGGTAGGCCCTGATTTTTGTGACTACAGTAATTGCTGCTTCTACTGTCAACACAGCTTAAGTAAAATAGTGGTGAAACATCCATCAGAGAAGCCGAAAGGGAGACAGTATTGTCTGTTGAAGAAAAACAGTGGTGTCTGCAATGGCTACATTACAGATGCCACCGCTGAGGCATCCATGAAAAGAGGTCCACATGCTTGCCTCTCCAAAGCAACTTGTGCGGAGCTTTAACAAGTCTATGTTGATTACATTTAAAAAATCTAATACTATTTAAGTACATTTGACCTTGAACAACATGGAAGTCAGGGTGCCAACCCCTGCGAATTCAAAAATCTGAGTTTAACTTTGACTCTCCAAAAACTTAACTACTAATAGCCTACCTGTTGACTAGAAGTCTTACAAATAACATAAACAGTCCATGAATGCAGATTTTGTATGTGTCTTATTATATAATGTATTCTTACAGAAAAAGGAAGCTAGAGAAAAGAAAATGTTATTAAGAAAATTGTAAAGAAGAGGGGCTGGGCACAGTGGCTCAGACCTGTAGTCCCAGCATTTTGGGAGGCTCAGGCGGGCAGATCACTTGAGGTCAGGAGTTCGAGACCAGCCTGGCCAACATGGTGAAACCCAGTCTCTACTAAAAATACAAAAATTAGCCGGGCATGTTGGCGGGCGCCTATAATCCCAGCTACTCGGGAGGCTGAGGCAGGAGAATTGCTTGAACCCAGGAGGTGGAGGTTGCAGTGAGCTGAGATTGTGCCATCCTGGGCAACAGAGCCAGACTGTCTCAAAAAAAAAAAAAAGAAGAGAAAATATATTTGCTATTGATTAAGTGGAAGTGGGTCATCATAAAGGTCTTCATTCTCTTTGTCTTTAAGTGAAGTAGGCTGAGGAGGAGGAGGAAGAGCAGGGGTTGGTCTCTTTGTCTTAGGGGTGGCAGAAGCAAGAGAAAATCAATGCATGTACCTGTGCCATTCAAACCTGTGTTGTTCAAAGGTCAACTGTACTTTTCTTTAAACCTGTGGTAAATTACAGACTTTATAAAGGGTCCTTTTGTAATTGTGAATAATCACCTCTTAATTGATTTCTTTCTAAGGAATATATCATTCCATGTAGAATGTTCTTAAAGCTAGTTATACCTGTTCTCAGTAACAGATACAAATGGTCATTGCAGTAAGAGATGATTATAATGAAGAGTTAACATGAAAAAATAAAATATTCCTTTCTATTAGTTTGGAAATGACATTGGGCAGGGAAGGACCAATATAAAATCTCAAAGCTGTGCATTGTTCTGTACATGTCACCTCCAAATGGCTCCGTAGTCTGAAACTCAGAATGCCTGTCTTTCTCCTTGAGCTCAGTCTGTCACTGTGTAGCTCAAGAATTCTCTGAGTTAATGTGTGGTTGAGAATGGAATTTACCATAGTCATTTTCCCTCCCGACATATCTATTACAAAAAAAAAAAAAAAACTATCTACAGTGATTTACAAACTTTGTTTTCTTTCAGGACAACACAGCAAGCTACCATCTCATGTGCTCCAAGAAGAATTGACTCTTCCCCCTACTTCCCCCGTTTCAAGGAGGTGGGGAGGGGGGCAGAGGCACAGAATCCTGGCCTTGGTGATAGGATGTGGTGTGATGCTGTTCTTCTGTATGTACTGTCCCATGGGGTGCCTGAGGATACGGTGCTGGCTGTGGTCCAGGTAAATTGGAGACAATCCTAGAAGTAAAAACATCCATCATGCTTAGTAGGATCTTAGGTTGTAACGGCTGCCTTGAGCCTTCAGACATTTTTTTTATAAAGCTCCCGGTCATAAAGCACTCTTTCCGCCTCTGCTGCCATATGTTTTTCCAGCTGGACTTTCACCAGTCTTCCACTCTCCAGAAAGTTCTTACTCATTCAGCCCAAGGGTATCTCATCAGTTTTTCTGAGGACTGCTGGAAGTTTCAGCAGGCGTCCTGGCCACACGGAAAATCTAGCTAGCTAAGCTTGTGGATGAAGGTCTCCAGTTATGAGTCTGTGCCCTGAGATGCTGTTGCCTGCCTTATTCAAATTAAATTTAGAGAAATTTAAATAAACATATATAAATGCATGAAACTGTATAAGAAAAAAGTCCTTATTAGTATGCATTTTCTGGGACTCAGACATCCTCACCAAATCCAACAGCAAGGAAACTGAATAACTTTTTGTCTTTTAAGAATAGTTTTTGTCCGAAGATTGGAATCTACCCACTTTTTTAGCCTGATCAGCCAGTGACCTCTGAACCTTGCTTTTCATTGTTCATCTTCTATTCACCTGGGGCACTGAGGATGTTTTTGCTTTTCCAGATGCTGTTTTTACAATTGGTTGACACAATGGCTAGAGTCATGACTCTTGGGTATGCTTCGTAGTTATTTGCCTATGGGACAAGGTTCACTCTTCCAAACTTTTTTTTTTTTTTTTTTTTTTTTTTTAGAGACTGGGTCTCGCTTTGTTCCCCAGGCTGGAGTGCAGTGGCGTGATCATGGTTCATGGATCACTGTAGCATCAACCTCCTGGGCTCAAGCAATCCACCTGCCTCAGCCTGCTTAGTAGCTGGGACTACAGGTATGCACTACCACCACACCTGGCTAATTTTTAATTTTTTGGTAGAGACCCCAGCCTCCCAAAGTCCTGGGATTGCAGGTGTAAGCCACTCTACCTGGCCTTGATTTTTGTATTTTTTTTGTAGAGATGGGGGTCTTGCTATGTTGCCCAGGCCAGTCTCAAACTCCTGGCCTCCAGTGATCCTCCCGCCTCAGCCTCCCAGAGTGCTGGGATTATATTACTACTGCACCCAGCCACTCTTCCAAATTCTAACCAAGCAGTTTGTTCTTTGTGATCCAGGCTTAGTTGCTGCCCTGTTGGCCATTTTTCCTTTGGGTGAATTTAGGATTCAGTTCCTCATCCTCAAAAGCCCTAACTGAAAAGGAACTGATGACACATTCTCCATGGTAAACCCTTCTTGGGAAACTCTCACGAGGACTTGGGCACTGTGTATCCAGCTCCTATTTTAGTGATAGATTTATATTTGATTTACAATAGAAATTGAGCCCACATCCAGATTTTAATAGTGCCACCCATTCCTTACTGGTGAGACCATTCTCTTCCTACGGTCCACCCCACCAGCTGACTGCCTCTCCTCCCCACTACAGTTTCCCAGCTGTCTCCTGCCACCCTGCTTCCATTTGCTGTTGTGTATGCTCCAATTTTTTACCTTCACACGACGAAAACTTCAGGGGCAAAAATTATACCTATGATAATGTAAAGAGATCTTAGAACAACTGAGACTGGCAGTAAAAAATTCAAAATTTTGACATTCCTAGTTTGGGGAGACGAGTTAGATTCAGGGATAGCTATGAAATTGTGCTGTCTGAATTTGTAAAGTATTTTTCAAAGCAGATTAACAGGACACAGTATTATGAGGAAATCACACTGATTTTCACTTTCTTTCTCGCTTGTTGGTTTCCCTAAATGCTTAAATAAGAATATAATTACAATATTTCTAAACGATTGTGCAACTGCTCTGAAGCTTGACTATTTACCTCCCACCACTCAGAAGAATACAAGCGGTATATATCTGTTAGGTTACCCATTAAACGACTGTGACAGATCGTATTTCTGGTTAATTGTTAGTTCCTTATGACCTTAGACTTTGCCTGTGTATTTAATAACACCATCTGCTGTCTAGGGTAGCAATACCACCTTTTTACATGAGGATTACTGTTCTTACTTCGTAAACAAAAGTGCTCAATCTGAGGTGTTGAAACTGTACCACAGAATTATTTAAATTATACTACCTATGGAAAGCTTAAAGAAGAAAAAATTAACTTTCTTCTCTATGGTGGCTTTATTAGCTTCAAGTAAAATATCAGAATTTATACACCATAAGAAAAGTATTTTTAAAAGATTTACAAGTTTTATTATTGGTCTGCAAAATGAAATGTTTTAAAAGAACGTTGTCTCTGTTATACTTGTTTTGTTTATCTTCTTCTAGCCGAGTTTCTCATTGTATATGATCTCTGAGCAATTTCTCAATAAAACAGACAATTTTAAAAAATTCTCACAAAATTAAATCGAGATGAGACTTAAAATAAAATCATCACCCAATATCATGCCTGTTTTGAAGCATTCTGAGAATCCTACTGGTTCATAAAAAATATTACAACATCTACTAACACATGGTCTATAATAAGGCAAATGTAGACAGGGTTTGAAGTCAGCTACCTTTGTTTGGGTCTCACAGACAGTGGCGCCTGTTAAATGAACTCTCCGTGGTCACAGTGAGGTGGGTGGCAGGGGGCAGAGCATTTATGTTTAATTTAACCAGGCCCATGCTGTACAGTATACTAATTTAGTTCAATTCTCCAATCCATGAATCAGAACTTCCTAAAAACAGAAGGGCTCTATGTAGTAGGAGAACTGGCTTGCATGGAAGTTGTATCTCCTGCGTGAGGGGAAATAGCACCTTTCTGAGTCAGGAGGAGGGAACTCCACTCATTTATTCATTCATTTATTTGTTCCTTAAACCATTGCCAGCCTTCATCCAAAAAGAAGCAAAGGTGAATGAAATTGCTGTTTAATTTTACCAGGGAAATGACAGCTCCCTAATGGTGATAAGTTTTTCACAGGAGCGATACTTCTGAGAATCAAGAATGAGCACTGCAGAATAAAGCATTCCAGGTCAATGTGTGTCTGATTTTGAAGCCTCTGACTTCGGCTATAAACTGTGACGAGGCTCACAGAATTGACCGTGATACACCCAGCACTCGCATAATTCCTAACTTTATGCTAAAATATGGACACTTCAGAGTGGTTTGTTTTTATGTGTGTGTGTGTGTGTGTGTTTTTAAATCACTTGGAACCAAAAAGGTTGGCCTGAATACTCACCACATGAAAATAATCAAGAGGTCATTTGCCAACAGAAAACAACTTCAAAAGTACGGAATGTGGAATTCTGAGCCTAAACCGTTTGACAGTATCCCAAAAAGGCATGTCCTGACATGTTTTCAGTCTAAGAGGGTTTCAGCATTCCAGGCTTTTAAAAGAATGTCTCCTATTACAGGAGCTGCCTATCCTTTTCCACACTCTCAATTCAAGGAATCTGGAAGTCTAATTCTGGAACACCCATTTTAAAATATATTGAGTAATCTTTATATGAAAAGTAAAGTATACGGTGACTCCTTTTCTGGTGTTTGAAGAATAGTTGAAACAAATTCTTCACATAAGAAAAACACAGAATTTTTGAAAAACATAGAGTTTTTTACAACTTTATTAAGTTATCCCATAATCAGACCCGTATAAACAAAAGCCATAATGTAACACGAATGTAACATTTCACCATAGTTAACCAAGTCACAACAAATTTCAAAACATCAGAATTCTTTGAATTTACTCTCATAACATCCTTTATGAATTCAGTATATAGCCTGCAAAGAAGCCACACAGCCATTAAGTAGTAGAATTCTAGGTGAGAATCCAAAAACACCTCAAAGCAAGTTTCCATATCCTGCCGACCTACTCAGCCAAATGCCTGCCTGTGTATGAAACCGTTTTGTTTGTCTGTTTGCTTCTTCAACTGAGAGCCTCTTGAACAATCTGAATAGCCTGTGGATAGTATATTAAGTCTTTGCCCGTATATATATATGTATGCATATATGTATATATGTATATATACACGTATACACGTATATGTATGTGTATACGTGTATATATACGTATATTTACACATATACGTGTATATATACATACACACATATACATATAAAATTATATATAAACACACATACACACACATACATATATGAAATAAGGCAGTCTCTTGAGGAAAGAAAAATGCAAATATTTTCCATAAGCCCTGAGACATTGAAGTTGGGCTTATATTAATGCTGATACAGATGTTTTGCCCTGGCTAATTTAAACTAAGTATAGACCGTGGTTTAGAGTCTCCTAATCTGGGATTGAGCCCAAACCAAGCAGACACGATGTTCTCGATGATGTGATGCTCTGGTAGCCATTTAACCTCCTGACTTTATTTGGATGGCACAATGCCCCCAAATAATGGGCAGGCATTTACTGGTAGTTTTTCCGCATTGTTTTGTAATCCCATGTGGGTCAGAAGAATGTTGGGCTTGGGTTTGTCAAATTCCTGTGTATTCCCATCACCCCCACCCACCACGAGAGGTCAGAACAGAAATGACATCAAGGCCAGCACCGTCTCCTCCACTCAAGAAAAACTGGCCTAGGGTGTCCAGCTGACCTGCCTCAGGTCACATGCCAGGTGAATGAAGAGAAGCTACGGTCCCTCAGTGATCTCCTGCATAGATATTTACATGTATGCAAAAAAGAACCTATGAAGAAAATATAAATAGGAGGTAGCCCACCAGTGGGCTAAAGAAAGAACTGCAGTTTGGGAAACCTGAATTCTAACTGTCGTTTAACCACACATTTTCTTTGTTTTAAGACAGATTCCTTATTATCTTGGTGTCTCAGTTCATAAAGTGAACAGACACTGATGTTCTTAACTATTGTTAAGAATAATGAATTGGTCTGATAATGCAAAGATAGATAGATGGATAGGTAGATAGGTAGATAATTGAGAGGTAGGTAGACAGAATAAAAGCAGCCTGACAAATGTTTAAAATCCAGCTACCTGTTAAGTGCTAAAGAGAAGAGGCCTCAGGAAGTTCACATGTGTGCAGTTCCCAGGCATGTTTCAGAACCAGCTTCCTCACTCAGGAATTTGCTCGAAGGGCTGGGAGTCTTGCCACGAAGTACATCAAAGTTCATTTGTATTTGCATTTTAGCTGTCTGTGACAAGCTTTGTAGTAAACACACTACATTTAGGCAGTCACTTTGGGGAATCCATCAGTAGTCTCTTGCTAGGGCTCACATCTAGGCTGCCTACTGCATGTCTGTTTCCTTCTCCCCTGTATGAACTTCAGTTCTGAGTGTGATTCTTAATTTTCCCAGTGGTTTTGCACTCTGCCTCACAAAGAGGCATTACCATGTGGGCACAGAAATGGATGTGCCAATGCATACCGGAATTCACTCCAACTAATAAAGTACAGTCCTCAGTCAGTCTGCTCAACTTTCCTTCCTTGTGTAGGGAGCTCTCTGTGTCTCCTTTACCTACAAAAATGACCACTACTCCTCCCATGCCAAAAAACAGGTGTTGGAGAAAGAATTTTATTGTTAAATGTGTAGACCTCTGAGAGATATCATTGGAATCTGCAGTATATACATACAATAATTGTTTCAAATAACAAGCTTACTTTATTTTTTGCTGAGCCCATTAGACTAAAGTAAGTCAGTCACCAGAATAGATTAGTGAAACTCCATTGGTAAGGCCAAATTATCCTGCTGAATGGCATTGTTTTGCAAAATATATTTTCATCTTGTCAAGAGAAAGCCTAATTCATATTGGCTAATTTCTATTTCATAAGAAATACAAAACATGGCCGGGTGCAGTGGCTCACGCCTGTAATCCCAGCACTTTGGGAAGCCGAGGTGGGAGGATCATCCAAGGTCAGGAGTTTGAGACCAGCCTGGTCAACATGGCAAAACCCAGTCTCTACTAAAAAATATAAAAATTAGCCGGGTGTGGTGGCATGTGCCTGTTGTCCCAGCTACTCAGGAAGCTGAGGCAGGAGAGTCGCTTGAACCCGGGAGGTGGAGGTTGCAGTGAGCTGAGATCGCACCACTGCACTCCAGCCTGGGCGACAGAGAAAGACTCTGTTTCAAATAATAATAATAATAACAATGAAAGTTCATTGGCATACTTTATGAACAACTTGTACCCTTGCAACTGTGATATTCTATACAATGTTGTTTCACACTTTTTTCTTTTCGGTACCCTGTAGCCCATTGTATTTATTTGTCTGAGTGCAAAGTAGTCAGGATTGGACTCCTACAATTGGAATTAAATTATTTCATGAGTTTTTCCTCTTTTTAAGAAAATAGATCACAAAGAGTTGGAGGTGCAGTATTCCAACCTGGTAAGTGCCAAAACCATTTCATCACCCAACTGACTCCCACAATTGAATCTTTTATCCTAACACCAACATCAGTTTTTATCCAAGGTTCATAAAGACTAGCATAAAAATGGTGTGCCATTTAAAGAGTCCCACACTCGACATGGTGTTATAGCAACTGTGCCCTACCTCTGTCAGCTCCTTTTGTCTGTGGTGAATGTTTACTTCTCTTTGGATTGATTGTTCTATGAACTATATTAAAATTTTCCTTTTTCCTATAAATATAGGTATAGATAGCAAATCTTAACACCTTTCCTGTTAACACTCAGATGTTAACACTCCTTTGCTGGGCTCTATGCTGTGCTTACATGATTTTTAACAATGCAAAATGCAAATAGAATATTCTCGACTACATCCTCAGGCAACAGGACTCACACCTAGATATCAGTTCTGACACTTTTTTTTTTTTTTTTGAGATGGAGTCTTGCTCTGTCGCCGAGGCTGGAGTGCAGTGACACAATCTTGGCTCACTGCAACCTCCGCCTCCCGGGTTCAAGCAATTCTCCTGCCTCAGCCTCCTAAGTAGCTGGGATTACAGACACATGCCACCACGTCCGGCTAATTTTTGTATTTTTAGTAGAGATGGGGTTTCACCATGCTGGCCAGGCTGGTCTCGAACTCCTGACCTCCTGATCCACCCACTGTGGCCTCCCAAAGTGCTGGGATTACAGGCGTGAGCCACCGCGTCTGGCCTCTGACACTCACTTTTCATGTTACTTTAGGTAAGTCAGGTTTTTAGTTTCTGAAAAGGATGACAAGAGAATAGAATTTATCCTTGAAATATCTTTTTAAAATGTTCATGTGAAAGATACAGCAAATACCATGCCATCGTACTGTTCTTTAACGTTTTAGAATTATTACATTATTTGACTTTTTCAGTTCTTATGCTATGGAATGTGTATGTAGGAAATGTACATTTTTTAATAGAAAAGCTAAGAAGGGAAAATTTACCATTTTTATATTTTCAAACATTATCTGTGAAGTTAATTCATTATTTTGTCAACATCTTCCTACTGATATCTTTCAAAGGGCTTCAGTGAGTGTTTTAAATATTCTAAGTTAAACCCACATCCAGATATTCCAGAAAAGTGCATTTCATCCTGCTTTTTCCAAAAAGTCAATAGGAGGTTTACTGGCATCAAATGGCTGTTGAATCCCTTCCAGTTCTACAAATTTCCTTGCAGACTGAGCAAGTGTGTGACCTCAATCTCTCCTTTGTCTATTTTGTCTGTTTCTCACTTAGCTCTTTAAATTCTGACACAGTGAGTATTTAACCTTCATCAAGATCCCAAATTTTGCTCTAAATAGGGACCTATACATACGTTGACATATAGGCTGCCGACTAACAGCTTCTGTGTACAATATGTGGATGATTAAGAGCTCCTGTGATTTTATCTGGCTTGATTCTTAGACCCTCCACAGAGAGTTTATCTCCTCCACATGCAAAAGTCTCTTTAATATCTGTATGCTCTGTGCACAGGGGAGGTAGGCTATAGAGAGAGGTCAAACAGAGGGAAAGTATTTCTAAAAAAGAATATTTGCAATTTGAAAAACAGTAAGATTGTCTCATAAAATGCTGTTACTAAGAAGGAAGACTCTCATATCAATTACAGAAGGTTCATTTATGTCATGGTGCTCCATAGTATGTGTAGATATATTCATATAAACAAATGTGTTCAAATATATATAACTTATTTAAAAAATTGGAAAAGCCCTGAATATCACGTGTGCTCTTCAAACCTTACGACACTTTTGCCAAAGCTGAAGAAACCCGCAATGATGTCCACAGAAATCCAGATGAAATGTGGCTGCATTTTTTCTCTTCTTCAAATACGCCAAGATCAGAGTTTAAGAAGCTTTAGCATGGTTGCAACATCATGCTATTTAAGGAAACTGCACTCTAAAGAATGAAGGCTGTGATTCCACCTCTGGATAGAGGGTGAAAGCCACGAACTCAGCAGTTCCTAGGAATACCATCTATCTCCTGGACAGCACCCACAAGCTGCTGGGGGAATGGGGTTGCACCCCTCTTGCAGCTGCATAACCTGGGGGCAAAGTTCCAATAAGGTACTCTTGTAGGAACCGTTTCTTTACACTGCTCTATAGACTGTCAGTTCAGGGCTTCCGTGTGTTAATAGCTGCTTGACTGGAGTAAGCTCTGGAAACCAGATTCAGATTTTAGATGTTTAACGTTCACGCAGTAGAAGCCCGTTTCAATCTCAGTGTCGGAAGGTCACATTAGTTCTACCCATTGAGCTATCGCTTACAACTGCTCTCTTAGGTTTGCCTTCCAAGCCACTTCCTTATTCCTGCTTTTCTGATAGTGTCATACTGAATGGCTTTCCTTTTACTCCTACACTGTGATTTTTATTTAAAAAAAAAAACAACTCTCAGAAATTAGAGCTGGAAAGGACTGTTGGTTTGTCTAGTCTCAGCAGGAGTGTTCTCCATAGAATATTTCCTTTAGTCCTTAAGACAAATTGCAACATTTTAGTGTTCTGGTGAAAAGCCAGCCTCATCCCGCTGCGTCGCCGACACTTGGCCCAGCATCTGCCTGCCTGTCCGTATATGAATGTGCAGGAGCACACTGCAGCCAACCCGGTAACCTTGACTCTGGGTGGCAAAGATGATCATAATTCTCTTTTGAGAGGACCTGGTGCCTCAAGCAAGAGGGCAGAGTCTACGTGACTAAAACATACCAACTTCCTCTTTCATAAGTCATCACATGATGAACTACAATTACAATTCCTGCCTTGTCTCTGCGAATTGCAGACGCATTGCCTCACCCTAGAAACCCTGCTCCTGTGTGTGGAGGAGGCGGCTGTAACTGCTGCAGCAGCCGCTTTGGATGGGATCCAACTCCAGTCTGTGCCGGGAGGGAGCGGTGGGTGGAAGACAAAAACAAAGCTATGTTTACTTAGCATACATCGATAAAGCTGCTTCAGAGCTACATGAAAGGCCAGGCTGCATGAAAGACTTCTGATACAATATAAGGAATTGCTGCCCTGAATCCAGCCTTAACCCCCTTGATTCCGGATCGAGCCCAGAACTAAAATAGCCCTTCCATTTTCCATCGGGCATTTCATTAGGGAAGTTACAACAACTCAGTTTCGACATGAAACTGGCAGTGTAAAATAAGAAGGAAATGCTCTTCCTTTGGAGAAGAAAAGCTCCGTTTTGCAAAGATCTTAGTATCGTGGCAGAATTTCTATCTCTAATTCTATTTTAGGATGGAGTGGCAGGCTCTCCCCTTGAGGCCATTACAGTACCAGCTTGCAGAGAAATGAGTATAATTAGGCCACAACTCTAATGGTGAGTTGTGTTTTCTTTTAGTATGTTTCAGTCAATGCTTAGTGGGGCCGTCTCTTGGGGGCGATGAGTTGGTTCATTTCTCTGCAGCACAAGGACTGGACTTCATCCCCTTTGGGCAGTGACGCAGTGGGTGAAGGCATGTACTGGAATGAGTGTCACAGGGTCTCTGAGGAGGGTGACCAAAGGGACAGGTCTTGAAAGCGGTGTGCAACAGCAGGGCCTGGGAGTGACCAAACCCGCTGGCACCAGCTACTCCCGGGAAGGATCTGGACAGGCCCCATTCTCCCAGCTTGGAGAGGGTGAGGCAGGATTGCAATTGCAGGGCAAGATCCAGGAACAGATGCAGAGACCTTTAAAACAGGCGCACCTTCTATGGAAATCCCCAAAAGACATTCAAGGTTAGCCTGTAAAAACATTTAGGTCTGACATTACGTTTTCTGTGCCATTTTCGAACAGGTTTTTTCATGTGTTTTAAGCAGCTCCCTCCACTGTTTCTCTAAGGGTGTTTTTCCTCTTCCTTGTGGTTAATCCTTTGAAGCAACCTGGTATTTTCAATAGCAACGACTAGAGAGAAACGTCAGCATGATTTTTTTTTTCTCTCCACCTACCAATCCAGTTGTAGGAAAGATAATATAATTAGTACCCTGTTCTTCCCACACTTAACCAGCTCATTCCAGTCTCAAGGGAGAGTTGTGGGCCTGTGTTCCCAACAAAAGCAGCTCCAGAGGCCGCCCTTAAAGAGCTTAAGTGTAAAAGTCCCAATTGAAGAGCGACTAAGCCTACGTGTATTAGGGAGACTAACGACCAGCCCAAAGTGATTTACCATAACACACACTAGCTCCTCCTCCCGATAAAAGTGCGAAACTCAAACATTCAATTCAGTCTGGGCTGAGTCTGAGGCTGCCAACGGTGGCAGACCTGCAGGCCGGGCTCATCCCGGCCTGGGTGGCATATAGGGCAAAAGTCCGCCTCCGTCGGCGGCCCGCCCTGCGGGACGGCGGGCCAGCCAGCCAGCCGGTCGCCCCCACGGCCCTCGGGAACCTCGCGGAGGCGAGCAGGACCCCCCCCCCCCCCACTCGCGCCCTCGCCTCCCGCCACCTCGAGTCCAAGTTCGGGCCCGGGGGCGGCGCCTCGACGCCCAGACTCGCCGAAGGGGGTGGAGCCTGCGCTGTGACGCGGCCGCGCTGGCCGTAGACCCCGGATCCCTGGAATGTGCATTCGTTCCACGAGGCCCTAGTGCCAGCGGCGCCGAGGCACGTCTGCGCGGAGCGTGCGCACTCGCGGCGGCGGCCGCCCACGGCCCCGCGCCCACGTCACGCGCCCGCCGCGCATACCTACATAAGGCAGCCGGGGCGACTGGCGCGGCGAGGCCCCCGATGAACAGGGCGGGCTGGACGGGGCTAAGAGCGGCACTTGGTGTTCGGGAGAGGCTAGTCCGAACCGCGCTCCCTCCCCTCCAGAGGGCTCCGTGGAAAACGCGCGAGCCAGCTGGCGGCGTGTGCACGTGGTGCTGGGCTTGGGAATATTCACAGTCTCCCTAGTTAGTAAAAGGGACAGGCGGGGCGTATGTCCTTTCCAAGACAAATGCAAAGCACCAGTGACGGATTTCATGCTATGTGTCCGACATTGAGCTTTCAAGTATAACTCCTAAAAAACCAGAACTGTGAACCACGCTAGACCTAAATTCCCCATTCTCAGGAGACTGACGGAAACCAAGTGACAAAGTGTCCTTGCATAAAAGAAAAAAAATGATTTTTAGCACGATTTGGCCCAGAGGCACACCAGAGGAAAACATCCTGAGGGTGGTCGGGACAGCCGGGTGGGGCGCGAAGTGAGGGAAAGTGGAGGAAAAGCACTCGATCACTTTGCGCGGTGTTCCGAAGGGAACACCGGCGCTGCGCTGCTGCGCTGCCCCGCGGGCGGGCGGGCGCCGCGTAGCCGGCTCTCCCGGCAGCGCTCCTTCGGCGCGCGGGGGGAGGGGGAGCGCGCGCGCGGGAGGGCGGGCACGCGCACGAGGGGAGGGGGCCCGCGCAGGCGCCGTGCGAGACTGTCGAAGAATCAAGTCTGTAGAAGTGGAGCGGTCGCGGCGGCAGCAGCAGCAGCGACGGTGGCGGCGGCGGAGCTGAGGCGGGCTGGCCGCTGACGCTGGCGCTGGAGAGCGGCGACGCCAGGAGCTGTGAGAGAGCGGCGGAGCGACCCGGGGCCCGCGCCGCGCCCGAGCTCCACGCCGCCCGGCCGCCGCCACCCCGGCGCGGCATGCCCCGCCGCTCGGGCTGAGCCTGCCCCGGCGGCCGCCCCCCGCCCCCTGCCCCCCCGGCCTCCCCGCCCCCCGCCCCGCACTCCGTGCCGGCCGCCGCCGCGACCTGCTGCGCTCCCCCGCGCCCGCGCGGCCCGTCTTCGCCCCGGTCTGGAGGCCCGCCGCGGCTCCGGCCGAGCCCCCACCGCCGCGCCCGCCGCCCCGCCGCGCCGCGCCGCCCGCCCGTGCCCGGGCCGGCCGGGGGGAACTGCTGCCGCGGCTGCAGCCCCTCACCTCGCGCCCGCCGCCCCTCGTGCACCGGGGGCGCTGCGCGGGCGCCGAGCCTTCGCGGGCTTTGCCGCCGCCGCCGCCGCCTTTGCGGCCGCCGCCGCCGCTGGTGGGGGAGACGCGGGGTTGGGGGGGGAGGAGGGCGCGCGTGGTGCCGGTGGGGGGCGGCGGCGGCGCCCCCTCCTCCTCCTCCGCCTCCTCCTCCGGCGTCGCGGGCTCCTCGGACATGGCCGCGGCGGTGGCGGTGGCGGCCGCGTCCCGGCGGCAGTCGTGCTACCTGTGTGACCTGCCCCGCATGCCCTGGGCCATGATCTGGGACTTCACCGAACCCGTCTGCCGCGGCTGCGTCAACTACGAGGGCGCCGACCGCGTCGAGTTCGTCATCGAGACGGCGCGGCAGCTCAAGCGGGCGCACGGCTGCTTCCCGGAGGGTCGCTCCCCACCCGGCGCCGCGGCCTCGGCCGCCGCCAAGCCGCCGCCGCTCTCCGCCAAGGACATCCTTTTGCAGCAGCAGCAGCAGCTTGGCCACGGCGGCCCCGAGGCGGCCCCGCGCGCGCCGCAGGCCTTGGAGCGCTACCCGTTGGCGGCCGCGGCCGAGAGGCCCCCGCGCCTCGGCTCTGACTTCGGCAGCAGCCGCCCGGCAGCGAGCCTGGCCCAGCCGCCGACGCCGCAGCCGCCGCCCGTGAACGGCATCCTGGTGCCCAACGGCTTCTCCAAGCTAGAGGAGCCGCCCGAGCTGAATCGCCAGAGCCCGAACCCGCGGCGCGGCCACGCGGTGCCGCCCACCCTGGTGCCGCTCATGAACGGCTCGGCCACGCCGCTGCCCACCGCGCTCGGCCTCGGCGGCCGCGCTGCCGCCTCCTTAGCCGCGGTGTCCGGAACCGCGGCCGCCAGCCTGGGCTCCGCGCAGCCCACCGATCTGGGCGCCCACAAGCGGCCGGCATCCGTGTCGAGCAGCGCTGCCGTGGAGCACGAGCAGCGTGAGGCGGCAGCCAAGGAGAAACAACCGCCGCCGCCTGCGCACCGGGGCCCGGCCGACAGCCTGTCCACCGCGGCCGGGGCCGCCGAGCTGAGCGCGGAAGGTGCGGGCAAGAGCCGCGGGTCTGGAGAGCAGGACTGGGTCAACAGGCCCAAGACCGTGCGCGACACGCTGCTGGCGCTGCACCAGCACGGCCACTCGGGGCCCTTCGAGAGCAAGTTTAAGAAGGAGCCGGCCCTGACTGCAGGCAGGTTGTTGGGTTTCGAGGCCAACGGGGCCAACGGGTCTAAAGCAGGTAGGGGCGGCTGTGAAGTGAGGGGGTCTAGGGGAGAAAAGGGGACGGAGAGCAGAGGAAGGGTGGTTCTTTGGATTCACCATTTTACCCCAGCCCAGAAACAACAAACACCCCACTTCCTGATCTGCCTGAGGCGGAACCAGTGCTTGGTGGCAACGTGTTCATGTGCTGAAGCAGCATAACAGAGATGAGTCAGACTGGGCTGATACGCTCTGACACGGGGTTTTCCTTTCCCAGCACATTCTTGGATGGGAGCATGAGGGCACCAGTCACCTTTTAACCTATTGGGGGACATTAGCAGTCACATGTTGAGTGCAAACGAGGGTACTTTTGTGCATGTGTACAAACAGGCAGTTACAAGCGTGTCATTTTCAGTGGCTCCATTTTAAATCAGTCTGCTGCCTCAGAATCCCGTACGCCTGAAGGTTTTAAGTTGCATGTGCACCTGAAACTCGTATATGAGTATTTTCTGTCTGTGCTTTTAGAGAGGAGGAATTCTGTAACGACTTTTGTTTCGGGTTAGGAAGAGAATGATCTCTTTCAGTGCACCGCCACTTATGTTACCTTTTTCCTTTTATTTCTTTGTGTTTCCAGTTGCAAGAACAGCAAGGAAAAGGAAGCCCTCTCCAGAACCAGAAGGTGAAGTCGGGCCCCCTAAGATCAACGGAGAGGCCCAGCCGTGGCTGTCCACATCCACAGAGGGGCTCAAGATCCCCATGACTCCTACATCCTCTTTTGTGTCTCCGCCACCACCCACTGCCTCACCTCATTCCAACCGGACCACACCGCCTGAAGCGGCCCAGAATGGCCAGTCCCCCATGGCAGCCCTGATCTTAGTAGCAGACAATGCAGGGGGCAGTCATGCCTCAAAAGATGCCAACCAGGTTCACTCCACTACCAGGAGGAATAGCAACAGTCCGCCCTCTCCGTCCTCTATGAACCAAAGAAGGCTGGGCCCCAGAGAGGTGGGGGGCCAGGGAGCAGGCAACACAGGAGGACTGGAGCCAGTGCACCCTGCCAGCCTCCCGGACTCCTCTCTGGCAACCAGTGCCCCGCTGTGCTGCACCCTCTGCCACGAGCGGCTGGAGGACACCCATTTTGTGCAGTGCCCGTCCGTCCCTTCGCACAAGTTCTGCTTCCCTTGCTCCAGACAAAGCATCAAACAGCAGGGAGCTAGTGGAGAGGTCTATTGTCCCAGTGGGGAAAAATGCCCTCTTGTGGGCTCCAATGTCCCCTGGGCCTTTATGCAAGGGGAAATTGCAACCATCCTTGCTGGAGATGTGAAAGTGAAAAAAGAGAGAGACTCGTGACTTTTCCGGTTTCAGAAAAACCCAATGATTACCCTTAATTAAAACTGCTTGAATTGTATATATATCTCCATATATATATATATCCAAGACAAGGGAAATGTAGACTTCATAAACATGGCTGTATAATTTTGATTTTTTTTGAATACATTGTGTTTCTATATTTTTTTTGACGACAAAAGGTATGTACTTATAAAGACATTTTTTTCTTTTGTTAACGTTATTAGCATATCTTTGTGCTTTATTATCCTGGTGACAGTTACCGTTCTATGTAGGCTGTGACTTGCGCTGCTTTTTTAGAGCACTTGGCAAATCAGAAATGCTTCTAGCTGTATTTGTATGCACTTATTTTAAAAAGAAAAAAAAAGCCAAATACATTTTCTGACATTGTAAGATTGCCTTACTGTCTGTCATTCCTTATTGCTGGCCCCTTTCTCAGGCCGGAGGCCAAGTGGTGGAGAAGGAAAGGAAATGATCGAACGGGCATGTTGTCAAGTGGGCATGCCACTGGGAAATACCACCAGTTTACCCTGAAACATTGTCCTCAGAGGAGTAGGAAAGTGGATTTTGAATCTCTATTTTGCTCAAAAGTTCAGTTCCTGAGATACTGATGACTGAGAGTGCTGCTGGGAAATTTTCAGGATTGTGTGGTCTTTTGGGGTTTTTTGTTTTTTTTTTTTTAAGACAAAGTTGACCGCTGTTCACTGTCCACGTGATCAGTTGTAAGATTACAATGCTGCATGCTAGTTGGTTACATAAGATACAATTCCAGTGATGGAAGGCGGTTATAATGGATGGTGGTGTGTACAAGATGGCACTGCCATCTTTGAGCAGAGCCCAGCTCTGCAGCGCCACTTCATCTTTTTAAACACCCTAGAGGTCTGTTTGTTGTTGCTGTTGTCCTTTATTTTGAAAGAGTTGCAAGAGAAGTTACAGTCCAGGTGAACTTGGAGATTGTGGGATTGGTTTTGTTTCTGTTTTGTTTTGTTTATCATTTACCTGTAGTGCTATTGCTGTTGATACTATCACCTATACCCTGTTTCTAGTGAGTGCTGAATACAGTATGGTACAATGACAGTAACAGCCGCGTGGTGCTGCCAGGACTGCCCTTGGGCATATCAGTGACAGCCCAAATGTGGGTGGAGGAAACCTGTAATTTCCTTCTTAACATGTGTTTGAAATACCAAGTGAATAATACTGTTCTGGAAAAAAATGATAAACTAGTGGAAATTAAAGAAATTAAGGGTTTTATATAATAGACAGGCCCCACCTCTCAAAATATTTTTAGAAGTCTTTTTGTAAACTAATTTCTTTTGATCACTATTTTGCATCAGTAAAATGATTTTTTTAAAACCAATAAATCATCAATTATTAGAAATAGTTGTCTCACAGTGATACTGGTTTTTCTTTTGTGCTGTTATGATTTAACATTGACAGGAACACTATTTTAAATCCTTACGTTCAGGTGTTTGTAACTTGGCCTTATAATTAGGCTGAATTATGGCTTCAAGGTCTACAATTTATGTGTATGGTTCACAGCCTAGCTTCTATTTACATTTGAAAATACAGATTTTTACCAACTTTGGATTCTTTTTTAGTTATATGTTTGTCTTTCCTTTTTAAATTGTTCAAAACTATTTTTTAATGGTCAAGTTACTAACACTTGAAAATCAGATACTGCACCAAATACAGTGTTTTTCCGTAGTGTTTTTAATGAGTGCACCTATTACTACTGTGCGAGAATTCATGTTTTACCAGTCATTGTTATATTACAAACAGACTTGCATGATTAACCAGTTGTTACACTTACTTTTTCAAGTTGGAGTATATATGACTCAGTGCAGACTGGTCTCTCTTATGTGAATGCACACATGCAGAAATGCAGAGTCAATTTTACATGCCCATAAAGACATTTGTAAAGAATTCAGCTCTTATGGTCTGTTGTATAAATGTGTATCTAGGCACTTTGGAATTTGACCTCACAGATGTTACAACTTGATCAGTCGTTTGACCTAATTTGTGGTAGCTATCTGTATGTTTTGCAATCTTAATACAGACATGCTTTCCAAAAAGATTAATACAGAACCATCCTGCCGTTTTGGATAAGTCTATCCAGCTGTGGAAAGGGCAACCTGTGGTTTCTCTGTACTGGTGTTTAATGGGGGAAGAATATGAACAGCTTTAAAGAGCTGTGTATTGTGGTTACTACTATTAAAAAATAAGATCTGCACGAGTCTGACTGGCCTTTGGGTGGCCTTTGTGGACGGCTCGTAGCTGGAAAGTGTTGATCTGGGTTTTCTGGCATTCTTTTAAGTTAAAAAGTTAACATCGGGACATGGGTTTGATCTTTTGTTGTACCTGATGACAGTGCAGAGATTCTCCACAGCTGGATAAAAATGTCACAAAGCTACTTACTGTACATGGGCAGTATCAGATTTCAAATCCTAATATTTCAGCTGTGCTTTTAATACTCAAAATATTAGGGGATGGGGTGTTGAAGCTTTCCCTTTTTTGCTTTTAACAATTTATAGAATTTAACAGATGTACTGTCTTTCATGTGGCCTCACATTTAAAGTTATGAGAACATACACATGGTTTACAACTTTTACTATATACCTTTCCTTGGCCACCAAGTATTTTAAAAGTGTGCCACCTTTTAACCTTTACTTTTTTTAAGTTGAAGGTGATACTTTTTCTATATATGATGAAACTCATGTCAACTGAAGTGAGTGTAATCTCAGATACCAACATTATTATATTTTAAAATCACGCTATGGAAATATCACCTGAATTCTGTCATTTGTCAGATTTACAGTACCTTTTTTTCTTTAACTTTTAGCATTAAATAAAAATAAAATTGGGAGCACTGAACATTTTCTGAGGCCTTTTTTAATTTTCTAAAGCAAGCTTAGAATGGCTATTGTTTTAATCACTAATGGCAATGTGACTAAAGGATGTGTGGGTTTGGGGTTGGGGTTTGCCTGAACTTCAGGAGATAAAAGACATGGAACAAAAAGGCAACTGATGGTATAAAATAGAAGTGCCAGGGACTGCGGAAAGGGCAACTGGATAGGGGACACAGATAAAAGAGCTGAACAAAGTACGGCTAGAAAGCATTTGTTTATTTTTCAACTAGCAGCAGAACCAGCCATTCTGCAATGGTAGATTGGAAAGAGAAGATAGTGACGACACTGGAAAGACTCTCAAGACCTGGAGCTGCTCTTTGAAAAGCTTTGGAATAAAACAGCTACGTTGGGCCATAGGAAATGCGCTAAAGACAAAAGGGATTTAAAAAAAAAAAAAGCCTTATACTTTGGAAAGCTTAGGAATGAAAAAAGCCAAAGCCATGTATGAGCTTTATTGATATCCTGAAACTTAAATTTATAAATAGAGATAAAAGGTAGAAAGCACTGAGACACATTTTACTGGCTACTCTCATATAATAAGAAATTTCCTAGATGTTGCAGCTTTTACTCTTTTTATTGATTAATGGCTTGGCAGACTTCTCTATGAAAGGAAGTTGTGAAACTCATAAAGAGTTGGAGGCTAGGATATACATAGAGTTACTATATGTTTTAAATTAAACAGCAACAGTGAATGTGTACTTGAATATATTTACACTAGGGTGGTCTGGTAACTAGGAGGGGCCCATCACTATATATATTTTAATAGTTTTTCATTATTAGTCCATTTAAGGTTTTCAAGAAACCATATTCTTAGCAAGTTACAGATGATAAACAATTTTTCATGTAATAACTAGGTTAAAAGAAATAGGATGAACTATGTTTTTGTAACAAAAATGCTAAATTTTATTTTTAGTGAAATTGAAAATAGTGCAGCTTGTAGAAGTAATTCTCAACATTTCAAAACCTCTTCCCAAAGATATACTTTAATGACTGCATTTCGTTTTCAGTTAAGAAAACAAACCAGACTCTTGATGTGGCAGATGTCTTTGTTTATTCCCCAAAGGGGAGTTGGGGGAGAGTTAAAAGGAAACTATGGAAATCCTTTTTTAATTCCTAGACTTTTAAGTCCCTCTTTACTCAAAAGTTGTTTTGCATATGATTTATAGATGGTTTTATTTGGTTAGTGAAGAGTAAAATGTTTCTCTTCCTGATTCCTAAGTGTATACGTGGAATCATTCAGAAAAATGTTCAGTTGTGTGTAGGCCATGAGAAGTCCTGAGTCACCCTCATTTGCTTGCCTTTTGTTCATAGGGAACAGTATGAGAAGACACGCCTTTCCTCTGTCACAGACCAAGGTCAGATGCACCAATGAATGGAATACATATTTACCCAATTTATCGTGGGGTTCTAGAAATCGGGAGTGGGGGTGGGGACTGTTTTAACTCCTTCAGTGCCACTGGTTAGGCCTCTGACAGCAATGGTACTACAATCAAATAAAAATTACGGGTGTGACTTTCCAGATTACAAACTCTATAGATCCCTTGTTGCTGTTTCTCTTGACAGCCTGCATTTTCCTTAATATGTCTGAACCCCTCACTGTAACTTAAAAAGCACACAAATAGACAATTTATAAATTACTCGCTAAGCGGTTAGAAGATAGAAAATGGGTAGATTTATGGATTATCTGTGGATTCCTCCATTAATCCTCAGATAAATCCATAATTTGTCAGGGATACCCACACTACCCCTAGTTATTACATTAATTTATACCTAATTTAACAGTGAACATTGTTTTAACTCATTAGGTGTGTCATCTGCTCCCTCCCCATGTCAATACAACTTAACTTAAAATGCTTGATTTGAAACAGCTCTCTGATTGTTTGATTTGAAGTGTAACTTGTCTCTTTAAAAGATTATAGAATATGAAGTCTGTATTTGCACTGGTTTTAATCAGAAAATTATGCACATCTGCCTGGCACAACATAAAACAATCCATACAACCCACAGAAAAGGTATTTTAGGACAAAAAGTAACTATACCATAGACAGATCATTATTGAGAATCATTTAGACATTGTATCTTAAAAGCTGTTCTTTTATTTTTAATCCAAAACCCAACTGAGTAAAATTTCCTTATTAAACAACCCTATTAGAATGGTATAAACAGTTTCTTCTGTAAGACAAACATTTATTTGGAAAATATATAGAATGGCACTGTATAACACTAACTCAAAACATGGAATAATAAATCTTCAGTGCAAGTAAAACATCACAAAATCAGCCATGAAAAGCCTCTAGGAGATGATTTCTGCCTAGGTCAGATAAGTCTAGAGACTAGACTACAGGATTCCTAGTTTAAATTGAGAGCTTCAAGGCACCGGTTCTCATCCTTTGAATGGGCTGTCAGAAGTTAGATTGCGTAATCTAAAGAGCCTCCTCCAGCAGCTCTACAGACGCCCTTGATGCTGAGATAAGACATCCTGTATAGGGTAATAATGTCACATTTGAATATTTCTAAATATAGTTTACATTTTGGGGGAAATGAACTACATTACATAATCTGTAGATCACATCACTTACCACTTTTACTTAGCAATTAGTATTTCTATATCATCACCATCAGGTAGCATTCAGATGCCCATCGTGCACAAAAAATGAGTTCGGTTTTGTTGTGGAGGCACTCAGCAACTTTAGCAGATAAATATTTAAGTCATTGCAAATTTATCTGCAATATCTATAGAAAACATCTTTCCTATACTAGTTCAAATAGAGTACTTTGAATTGCGTATGTGGCTATTTATGCCTCCGGGGTGGGGGGGCGGTGGGAATTAAAAACCCGGAAACATTTCGCCAGAGCTCAGGGCCTCAATTTATTTTAATGCATGGAAAGAGTTTATTAAAAGTGAACCTCAAATTACTGAGGTTTTGCCTTCTTTTATTGTATGATTTTTAAAGTATTTGCCATACTAGTAAGAGTTCTGCAGAGAAGTGACATGTGGGAGTAGAGATTGTCTGGGTCAGACTAAATCAGCATTTCTTTGGCACAGGCTTGTCTTGGGCCGTCTGCCTGAGCCGACTGTATGTGTGAGCTGCAAAACAGAAAAAAGCTGTTGAGAGTCTTAGCCCAGGCTAAGAGCCCATTACCCCCATTTTGTTATTTCTGCCTGCAAACAGCAGTTCAATTAGCTTTTCTGGTGATAAAAGATAAAGATTTATTGTACCCCATATACAATTGAAATCAGAATTTCACAGGAGGGTCACAGTCATTAGAGAAGTTTTGGAATACTATTCTCCTAATAAGCACCATATGGGTTGTTGCTGTTATAATTTAACACCTACTAAGCAGGCATCTCATTCTAGGCTTTGAACAGCTGAGAGGCTAGCTCCTACCTTTTGTGCAGCTTAAAGTCAAAGCCACAGGTAGGAAATGTCACTTTGCTTGGTTCAAGACACGTATTGACAAGAGTTAACCACGAGTTTGTTTCCTTCCAGTTTATCTTACAAACCACAGTAAAATTCTGACATAGGAACACAGTCCGAAGTCCAAAGTGCTTTCGCACAATAAGTTCATTATGCCCAGCGTGCAATTCATGCATCAAGGGGGCCGCCGGACCCCATTATCTTTATACAAATCAAGAGGCCAGTTGGAACAAGGAGGCTGGTCAGAATGGTCAAATTGTAGTTTTTCCCTTTCTTTTTTAAAAAATTTATTTTTTCACTTTGTATCGTTGTTCAGAATGGCACTTTTTAAAAGGAAGAAAGCCTCCAGCCCTGCCAAGCTCTGTTTACTCCACGGGAAGGAAAGGGGAGGAGGCTCCCTCACTCTCCAACAGCCTGGAGCCCACAAGGAGCCCTTGCTGCGGTTTCCAAGGCGGCCCCCTGACTTGCGCCGCGCCTCTATTCTAGAACTTTTCCCGGGCTGGAGCAGCGCAGTCTCCGCGCGCCCGGCTCTGCGCACGTGGAGCCGCGCGACCCCGGGCGGGGCGGGGCGGGGCGGGGCGGAACGGAACGGAACGGGACGGGACGGGACGGGGCGGGGCGCGGGCCCGGAAACGGGAAACGGCCCGGTGCGCCCCGCCCCTCCGCTCCGCCGCCCAGTCCTGGCCCCGAGCGCCAGGCCAAGCCAGCGCGCCAGCTGCCGGGCTATAATTAGAGGGACCGCAGCCCGGGCCCGGCCACCTCCTCGCGCCCCCCGCCCGCGTTCCCGGGGAAGAATGTGCGAGTGCGCGCGAGGGCCCGAGTGCGCCGCCGCCGGCGCGCTCTCTGGAGCAGAGACCGCGTGGTGAACCAAATAAAGTAAAAGGTCTGGCTCCTGCTGGGCGAGGCCGAGCGAGGAACGTGCGCGCCAGAGCAGGGGTGTGGCGAGCCCTCGGTGGCCCAGAAAAGATCAAACGCGCGTCAGCAGCAGCCGTGGCTGCCGCCTGCAAGGGTCCCTGACGCGGGCCGGGCTGTACAGGGTGGATTTTCTAAGTTGGAGATGGCGCATGACAAGAGCTGCCCCAAATCAAATGTCACTCCCTTTTTGGAAATCATGATGCTGCTTTTTTTTTTTTTTTTTGGCTGCAGCTATAATAAGCCAAATGTTCCGTGCTGGTGAAGTAAACACGCGTGTTTAAGAAGCATCTGTGTTAGCACTAATGGATGGTGCATGCTAATAAAAATGTATTTATTAAGCAAACCTCAGGACATGCCCCTATGGGAACTGCCCAGAGTACTGTTAACAACTGACTGCCTGAAAATGAGTTTACTTTCTATCAAGAAACTTTTATTTAAATTTGAAGAAAAAAGTTTTTCTTTGATCATAGCATTGTTGTGCACCTGAGGTTCTACCCAATTAGTTAACTGCTAATTTTTATTAATTATTCCCTTTAATACTCTGCAGTATTTTCTCAAAAAATGAACAGCATGACCCCTGTCACTTTAAAAAACTGACATTAAACTATTTCTCCATCACCAGCCTTGGAGTTGGGGGGGCAGGGTGCTGGCTACCAGAAGTAGCAACTAGATTGTGGAATAAGTATTGTGTAATAGTTTTAGTGATTGTTTAAAAGTGAATGAACCGGTGAATGGATAGGAGGCTAGAAAAAAAAAAAAAAGCCTTGCTTCAGGCTTGTGAATTCCTAGACACAACCCTACCCAAAGACTTCCTTCACCAACATATTTTTCTTTCTAGATAATAGGCACAAAAACCATTTAGAAGTTTGAGATGGAAATCATGCAATGCACTCTGCTCTTTATATATGTTACTGAGGAATCTGGAAGCTTTTCCGGGTTGAAATGCAATTCCTAGGAAATTATTCTTGCTCTTTTCCTGTGGCTGTTTTTAACACAGCAGCAATGCAATTTCAGTGGCTCTGCTCCTTCACAAAGACCTTTGAGAGGGAACTATGCTGAGAGATGCAAATTCAAGGTTTTCTGAAAACACCTCAGAATTGTCCAGTTCTGCCCCCAGATAAAACCACTAGAATAAAGGTCAGGAAATCTCCAGATGTTCTTGGGACTTGCGCAGTCATCTCAGGTAATTCAATTAGCTTTTGTGTCTGTTTTGCAATTATTAAAAAAAAATATAGGCCAGGCACAGTGGCTCACGCCTGTAATCCCAGGACTTTGGGAGGCCGAGGCGGGTGGATCACCTGAGGTCAGGAGTTTGAGATCAGCCTGGCCAACATGGTGAAACCCTGTCTCTACTATATATACAAAAATTAGCTGGGCGCCGTGGTGCATGCCTGTAATCCCAGCTACTTGGGAGGCTGAGGCAGGAGAATCACTTGAACCTGGGAAGCGAAGGTTGCAATGAGCCGAGATCGCCACACTGCACTCCATCCTGGGCGACAAAGTGAGACTCTGTCTTAAAAAAAAAAAAAAAAAAAAAAAATATATATATATATATATATATATGATGTACTTGCCTCAGAGGGGGCTAAAATATCAAATTAGGTAATTTCTATGACAGATTTCTGGTTTTTCATTTATCAACCAGACATGAGAAGGTGCTGTCATACAGGGCATCATTAGGTGATTGGGCACAGTGAGTGCCTACCACCCAAAATAGAGACTTTCAGTTATTATATTAAACAGAATAATAGCAAATCGCTTTGAAACACTGGAGAGAAGGGGCTCCCCCTGCTGTCATCACAGAAAATGCATTGTCTCAGGCCAGTGTCTTGTAGCTAGAGTACTCACTGGGTTTCAATCACAGTACCAGAAGATTCTCGAAGTTATCATCACCTTGGAGGATGTATAGTTTCATTGGAACTAAAAATATCACAAAAAAAGAATATGCATATTTTTCTTGAAACACCCTATGCTCAGATTCATTTACTCAAGGCTCAGCCTGCCTATGAACCACCAAAATGGTCTACCTCACTCCATTTATGACTTTAAAAGCAAGGATGGTATATGTGTGGCTGGTAGCAGCTGGAGGTGAGTGGGTTGAAAATATGTTTGAACATATTTCATTTTTGTTAAGGTTTGTTTAAATAAGGAATCAATAAAAATGATGTATAATGGGAAATAAGAGCATCTTCATTGGATTTTGGCCTTGGTAAAAACGTTGTGTTTGTAAAAAAATCATTTAATTTTCTTGTAAATCATATTTCTTTACACAGGAGCCACTGGATTCATGAATAAGTCTTCAGAGGTCATGAAGAGTTGGGTTTGTCAGCCTCAAAATTTGTAGCACTGGAAAGAAATGATTCAAGGTCTCAGTAACAAATACTGGCTGAGCTGAGTCTCAAGGAATGACCAGACCAAGCCAGAGATCCTTCATCTAGGCCATGTTTGCTGAGGGGTTGAGGACATGGATGGAATTAGGTTGAAACTCTTCGTGAACAAGATGAATTGTAAGCAGTTAAGAAGGAAAAGATGCTGGATGTGGTGGTTCACACCTGTAACCTTAGCACTTTGGGAGGCCGAGGTGGGAGGATCACTTGAGACCAGCCTGGGCAACATAGTGAGACACCATGTCTACAAACACTTTAAAATAAATAACAATATTTATTGTTAAATAAACAAATATGAAAGGAAAAGAGATGGCATGTGCAAGAGTTGAGAGATTGGAGAGGAAAAATTACATGAAGGAACCAACATCTGGCCATAGCCATTCATTCATTCACTTATTTGTTCATTGGTTCACTTGCTCTTTCACTCCCCACATATATCTCATGATAAATAACATGGCCTCTGGGGTCAGACGGCTTACTCTTAACTTCCAGCTCCACCTCTTTCTAACCTTAAATATAAAGGTATTAAGAAACAGTATCTTCAGTTTGCTTCCAGAGACCACTTTCTTCATTCTGCAACCTCACTGGCTGTTCTTTCACTGATTCCTCATCGTCTCACTTGTTGGAGTGCCCCTAAGCTTAGTCCTCAGATGGTTTTTTTTTTTCCTCTCTCTCTGTCTACACTTACTCCCTGCAATCTCATCCAGAAATATGGTTTTAAAATAACATTATATGCTTACTCTCAGATTTATTTCTCTAGCCTAGACCTCCGTCCTTGAGTGCCAGCCTGGTATATCCAGCTACCTACTCAGTTGTTCGCTTGAATATCTAATTGACGTCTCACATTTATATGTCTGAAGTTGAACTTCTGATCTCCCTCCCACCCTCGCCCAACACCACCGCACCACAGTCCCCTTTCAGTCTTTCCCATTTTACAAAATGGCAGTTCCATCTTCTAGTTGTTTGAGCCATAGACCTTAGAGTGGTCTTTCACTTGGATTTTTTCTCAGCCATTCTCCATCCAGTCTATCAGCAAATCCTCTTGGTTCTACCTTCAAAATATATTCAGAATCTGACCACATCTCACTACCTACTAGACACCGCCATCATTTCTTGTCTAGGGTGTTGCAGAGTCTTCCAGACTGTTCCTCCCGTTTCTGCCCTTGTCCTCTGCAACTTATTCTCAGTTCATCGGCCAGAATAAACCCTAAAAATATTCATCTGATCTTGTTTCTCCTTTGCTCAAATCCTTTTCTTGCCTTTCTATCTCCTTCAGAGTCAAATCCAAAGTCTTTACAATGGCCATCAAGGCAATGCTATTTCCCAGACATGGCTCCTATCCTTGTTCATGCTAGCCACGCCAGCTTCCTGGCATTCCTTGACCTTGCTAAGCATGCTCCCACCTCATGGCTCTTCTCTGCTTGGAATGCTCTTCCCTCAGATGTATGCATAGCTCATTCCCTCATTTCCTTCAGGTCTCTATGCCAAGGTCCCCTGATGAGTGATCTTCCCTGATCAGTCCCCTGATCTTCCCTGACCACCCTCTATTAGCATCCTCTTGCTCCTATAACAACGTCCCACAAACAGTGAATTAAAAGTACACCAAATGATTATCTTACAGTTCTGGATGCCATGATCTAAAATTAAGATGTCGGCAGGGCTGGTTTCCTCGGGAGGCTTCAGGGGAGATGCCACTTCCTTGCCTTTTCAGCTTCTAGAGGCCACCTGCATTCCTGGGCTTGTGGTCCCTTCCTTGAATCACTCCAGTTCCTGCTTCCATCATCACTGCTCTTCCTGCCTCCTTACGAGGATCCTTGTAATTATATGGGGCCCAGCTAAGCAGTTCTAGGATGATCTCATTTCAAAATGGTTGATTTAATCACATCTGCAAAATCCCTTTTACCATGTGACTTCATATATTCACAGGTTCAGAAGATTAGGACAGAGACATCTTGGGGGGCCACTATTCAGCTATCATAATATATTTGATACACTATATAAAATTATCCATGCTAAGCTACTCCACATTCTATAGTCTCTGTTCCTCTTTTATTTTTCTTCCTAGTACTTTGTCTCATCAGATGTTATATATTATTTACTAATTTGTAAGTTTTTGTCTCCCCAGACCCTAGGCCCTGCATTCGGTAGAGCAGGGATCCCCAACCCCCAGCCTGCAGCCCCATATGGGTCCATGGCCTGTTAGGAACCAGGCCATACAGCAGGAGGTGAGCGGCAGGTGAGCGGCGGGTGAGCGGCAGGTGAGCGAGCATTACCTCCTGAGCTCCATCTCCTGTCAGATCAGCCACGGCATTAGATTCTTATAGAAGCATGAACCCTATTGTGAACTGCACGTTCAAAAGATCTGGGTTGTGCACTGCTTATGAGAGTCTAATGCCTGATGATCCGAGGTGGAACAGTTTCATCCCCAAACCATTAACCCCTTTCCTGTCAGGTCCATGGAGAAACTGTCTTCCATGAAACCAGTCCCTGGTGCCAAAAAGGTTGGGGACTGCTGCCATAAACTCTATGAGGAAGGGCAAAGTGACCCCAAATGATATGGTGTGGCTCTGTGTCCCCACCTAAATCTCATGTTGAATTGTAATTCCCAGTGTGGGAGGTGGGGCCTGGTGGGAGGTGACTGGATCATGGGGGATGGTTTCTGATGGTTTAGTGCCATCCCCCTTGCTGTTCTCGTGATAGAGTTCTCACGAGATCTGGTTGTTTGAAAGTGTGTAGCACCTCCCCCTTGTCTCTCTCTTCCTTTTGTTCCCGCCACGTAAGATATGCCTGCTTCCTCTTTGCCTTCTGCTGTGATTCTAAGTTTCCTGAGGCCTCTCCAGCCATGCTGCCTGTACAGCCTACAGAACTGTGAGCCAATTAAACCTCTTTTCTTTATAAATTATCCCATCTCAGGTGGTTCTTTGTAGCAATGAGAGAACGGACTAGTACACCCACTGTCATGATCATGTGTGCTGTAAATATTTGTTAAAGGAATAAATTTAGTTTCTAATCTCAACAAGGGAAATATGGTGAGAAGTAATGGAAAATAAGAAAAGAGCCATAACAATGTATTTATAAGATACAATGGAAACCCAATCAGTCTACCTCGGGAGAGAATGCTGAGGCTAGCAGCCATGAGGTGGGGCTGGCCAGGCAGGATAGAGAAAGAGCAGAGCTCAGCGGATCTAAAATTAAGGGGGCTTTGGGATGTTGAGCAAACACAGGGACCCCACAAATGCTGTTCAGCCAGGACAGAGGGTCCGCACAGACAGACCTGGATAAAAAAAAACAGAAAGAAGCAGTCAGAGGGCGTATGGTAACCACATCAAAGTCCCAATCAGAAGGGTGATGTGTCTTGAGATGCTTTTACAGGTGCAGAGTTTAGGGGGATTTAAGGTAAAGCAGGAGAAAGTAGGCAAGAAGCAGTTCTCCTTGTGGCAGGGACTGCTTTGCTCAGGCTCAGCCTGCAACAGTGGTGGGACTTGATTCTGATTGCTGGGTCACAGGTGGGTGCTGCTGCCATCTGATCAGTCACTGTGGTCTTCCACCTTCTGGCATGGGAAGAGACAGAGGGCGGTGCGGGTAGGGCAAGACTCACTTAACAGCTTCTTGGGTAGTCTTAGGAGCATGTTAGCAGCAGTTCTTTGTGTTTTGAAAGATTCTGCTAAGTGGACATAGAACAGTGTCATGGCTAAAGGCCTGACTGCTTTCAAATCCCAGCTCCACCATAGCTTAGCTGTGTGTCCTTGGAAATACATTTTGTTCTTTTATTTATCTTTTTTTTTTTTTTTTTTGAGAAAAAGTGTCTCACTCTGTCGCCCAGGCTGGAGTTCAGTGGCACAATCTCGGCTCACTGCAAGCTCCGCCTCCCGGGTTCATGCCATTCTCCTGCCTCAGCCTCCCCAGTAGCTGGGACTACAGGCGCCTGCCACCACGCTCGGCTAATTTTTTGTATTTTTTGTAGAGATGGGGTTTCACCATGTTAGCCAGGATGGTCTCGATCTCCTGACCTCATGATCCGCCCGCCTCAGCCTCCCAAAGTGCTGGGATTACAAGCGTGAGCCACGGCGCCCGGCCTACGTTTTGTTCTTTAAGAGATTGTCAGGAAGAATCAGATAGGAGCAATCAGGGTGTGTGAGACCTGATTATGAAGCAGACATTAATCATATCATGTGACTCCAATCATTATGTCCTAATACTGTCCTCCAAACATAGGTAAGGATTATCCCACCTGACAATGGATAAGTTCTTTGATGTCTCTAAACCTCAGTCTCCTCATCTGTAGAATGGGAATAATAATAGTACCTGTTTCTTAAATTCATTGTGAGGGTTAAATGAAGCAATGTGCAAAGTCTCCTTGAGTCTGTGATATAATATATGTGGGGTCTTATTATTTATCCCAAAGCAGGAAGCATCAGAGTTCTGGGAAGGTGACTTAACCTCACCTGCTCTTCCTCTCACACAGCCTTCCCACTCAGGTCTTCTGTGGATAGAGTTCCTCTGATAGTTTTTTTTTTGTTTTTTTTTTTTTTTTTTTTTTTTTAACCAGATGGAGACTCGTTCTGTCGTCCAGGCTGGAGTGCAGTGGCATGATCTCGGCTCACTGCAGCCTCTGCCCCCTGGGTTTAAGAGATTCTCCAGCCTCAGCCTCCCGAGTAGCTGGGACTATAGGCACATGCCACCACACCTGGCTAAGTTTTGTATTTTTAGTAGAGACGGGGTTTTGCCATGTTGCCCAGGCTGGTCTTGAACTCCTGAACTCAAAGCAATCCACCTGCCTCGGCCTCCCAAAGTGCTGGGATTACAGGTGTGAACCACAGCGCCTGGCCAATCTTCTTTAAATGACTATTTAACACCCTCAAGCTTCAGAGACCCCTCTCCAGACCCCTACTTGGTGGAACCCAACCCCACCACTTCCAGTGGTAATGGATTTCTGGTCCTCTGTCCTGTTTGTGCTCTGCAGACTCTGCTCTAAGTCTTCAGTTGCAAGTCTGCGTGCCTCTGCTCTGTTCAGGCTCCTACAAGCCCCACTGTGGGGAGCTCTGGTCCCTTTTTGGCTATGGGGAAGAGAAGCAAGAAAGGGCGCCATGTTCTAGGAGTCAGAGAGAGGTTGGTTTGGAGGATTCGAAGGCTGCTTTAGTTTTGGTTCCGTCTCTCCCTGGCAGCCAGGGCTAAGGTCAGTTTTATGCTAAATTAACTAAATGTATATATCACTCATCACACCCTAGCTATGGAGGGAACGCTAATGCTTATATTATAGAATTATGAGCATGAAAACGCTCTGCGAACTCTTAAGTAACATAAAAATGCTGACTTTTATTGTCTAACTTGGGATTTTCTACGCGAGCTTTGCTTTAGTGATGAAGTTGGGAACCTGCTTTTCTTACACAACATTTTTACAAATATCAAGATGACTGATGAACTCTTCTCTGACCACCTGAGATATGTATCCAACACAGTTCTTCCGAATCCTAAGCTCGTCCTGAGGATGCCGCCTTTTCTGTGAGCTGGTTCTCATGGCTTTTGTGCAGTTATAAGTCACTGGGTCACGTTTCTGCACTGCCTTGCAGAAATGCTCTGCTCAAGTTTGCCATGAGGTCCACAGTGGGAGCCAGGAGGTCAAAGGCACCAGAAGAGACCACAGCCTTCCTCCTAGCAAGGCTGGGAAGACCTGCTGCCCTTTACTTTAGTCCCCATAGAAAGGCCACCAGAGACAAAGTCTGAATATAGAAACAGAAGGAGGCTGGTTCCTTTGGGCATATCTGACAAGAGATTTGAAATACCTCTGCTACTAATTGGGGGCCTATACAAATGAGTGTCTCATTTCAATGTGTGGTCAAGACTCAATGTAAGATTGCTAAGATGGGAGCTATGGCCTACCTGCTTTGTCTTCCTTGAGCCATAATAAATGCGTTTATAAGACACCATGGGGGCATAGGGAAGATATAGTCACTCTGCCAGAAGTGAGGTAGCAAGGGGGACGGGTTCGTAGAGGAAGAGACACTGAAACTCCTTTGCTTTGGGCTCCCAGGTCCCACCATGAAGGCTCACATCCGCCCCAGTCCCCAGGCTAACCCAAGCATGAAGTGGACTTTTGAGGGACCTCTTCCAGTCCCAAGATCATCTTGTAGCTCTGAGTTCCCTTGTGGCTCCCTGGGTTTCCTTCCCTGCCAAGCCCCAGGGCTACTGTCCTTAGGAAAGGCTTCTAGGTGGCTCCAGGCCCCTAGATCACACCTCTTAGCTACTTCTTCTCTCTCTGGACCCATGTCGGGCAAGTCCATGGGACAGGACTGTGCCTTGGCCTATGCCTAGGCTCTATTTGGTTGCCCGGTCCCCACATCCTTAGGTCTCTTCTAGGACTGGAGATCTACCATAAGCCCCAGTACAGCGAAGAGGACTCTGCTGCTTGCCTTGTTTTCTTCCCAGCATCTCCTAGGGGATGGTGTTCTGTCCAGTTTCCCTGTCACCATACTATGGCTTCCTGTTGAGTCTCTGCTACTTCATCTTGGGCTCCATGATGCCAACCACTTTCTGGACTGTGTCTGAGACTCTTGGAGCTTAGGTTGCTGCACCTCATCCCAGCCCATCATCTCCCAAATCAGATTTTGCCACCAAATCAGTTGAACCAGTGCCTGTCCCTTCCTAGTAAACAAGTTTGGTGCCACTGTATAAGTCAGGGCTCTCCAGAGCCTGACTAATATACAGAACCAATAGGATAGAGAAAGAGAGAGACCGATTTTAAGGAATTGGCTGATGTGATTGTGGAGACTGGAAAGTCTAACATCTGTAGAGCAGGCCAGCATGCTGGAATTTTGTTGTGGAGTTCATGCTGCAGTCTTCAGTCTGAAAATCTGCAGGCTAGAAACTTAAGCAAGACATTTATGCTGTAAACTTGAGGTCCCGTTCCTTCTTCTTCAGGAAACCTCAGTCTTTGTTTTAAAGGTCCTCAGCTGATTGGATGAGGTCCATCTACATTATGGAGGGTAATTTGCTTTACTTGAAGTCTACTGATCTAAATATTACATTTTAAAATACTTTCAAGGCAACATCTCGACTGGTGTTTGGCCAACTGGGCACCATAGCCTAGCCAAGCTGACACATGACATTAACCATCATGGCCACTTTCCAAGTTTCCTTTTCCATCCCCAGACAATGACGCCTCTACCAGTTGCGATGCTTTCAAGGGCAAAAATCACAGAAAATCCTACTCAAATAGGCTTAAACTATAAAGGGAACTTAATGGCTCTGGGAACTAATAAAATCTACAGTCAGGTAGACCCTAGGTCTGACTTGCTTAAGGTTTAAGCATCTTCTCTCTCTGATTCTCGTGTCTGTACCTTCACTATGTTGATACTATCTTCAGGCAGGCTTCCCTCCTGCTTACAGGATGATGCACTTTCTCTTTCACATCCAAGAGGAAAGAGGGCAGAGCATTCCTTTTAGAACAAGTCCCAAGCTTCCCTCTGATTGGCTCAGTCCCGACATCATCATCGTGGGCAAGGAAAAGCTCTGCTCTGATTGGCTCAGGTCTGCCCATGCCCTAACCAATCCCAGGGCAAAGGCATGGGATTGCCCTGACTGGCATCTAGTTAGGAGTCTTTCCCTGCAATTGGGAGTAGGATCAGTCCCACCACAATAAATGGTTGCTGCACAGTGGCTGAGGAATGGCCTGGATATTGGGAGATAAACTTAGTACTCCACATCAGCCTCCAAAGCAGGGCTGCCTGGAAAGAAGGGTGTTCCCTGTGTGGATATCAGGGCAGTATCAGTACAGCATGGCAGAGTGGGGTCGTGGCTGGTGGACATGTGCTCACTTCAGATGTCCTTGTCCCTGATCTGTTTGCCCCTCCCTCTGACACAGGGAGTGCTCACCTCAACAGGATTAAACTCCTAGCAGCTGGCTTTACAACTGCGGGATCTGGGATGTTGCTGGGAGCCACCCAGAGCTGAGGTGCATGATTCACGCTGTTCTGATTAGTGGCTTGGCAGGGACAAAGAATGAAGGAAGAAGGTGGCTTAGAGACAAGTTGGGGCAGCCCAGAAGAGGGGGTTCTTTGAGATTTTTGATCTGTAGTTTGTTTTTGTTTAAAAAACCAACAACTGAGGTGGGAAGACACATCTTAGCAAGTTGTAAAATGCCTCCTCCACCCCGCCCTCTCTCTAGGCCTCTTCCCTCTTTACTGTGCTGCCACTGCAGTCTCTGGCACAGGCACGTCACACAGAAAGCCAAGGGAGGGAGGGTGATGCAGCCTGGCCGAAAAGCACACCGGTTCCTCGTGCACAGTGAGATGGGAGCACACGGCCTGTTGGTGTGGGCGGCCCCGGCGCCACCTCGTACACTAGGTGTTCCCATCAGTCTTTGAACAAGGGCCATCCACTGTCTGAGCAGACACACGCCAGGTACCTGTGTACCACGTTGGAATTGAGAAAGACCACGAGAAAAAAAAAACAGCAGAGCTTTTTGTGGCCTCAGTATCACTCTGGGCGAGTGAGAGAGGCATTTGGGGACCAAACATGGCTGGGATTAAACGAGGGCGTTGCTACCTCAACAGGTACATAATTCTAAATTGTGTGAGGGGAAAAAGTCATCCTGTTGACTCCGAACAAAATGATTTATGGTTTACAAAGCTGTTTTGCCTCTGTCGGGTCATTTAATCCTCATAACCGCCTCTAAGAAACACTTTTACAGAACAGAAAACTGAGGCAAAGCCGAGCGACTTGCTTTAAATTATTTATAGTTATAAAGTGAAGCTGATCTAACTCTAATCCCATTTTCTTCTTTTTGCTATTTGAGAGTTACATTTTTTTTTTTGGCCTTATCAGTACAGGGAATATTAGTTAAGACGTGCCATGGAATGGATTATACAAATCCCCCAAACCCCTTTGCTTACAGACGGGTTTATACTCATTCTTCATGCTTAGCTTGCTAATGTAGGAGTCACATGTTACTGTTGTCTTTATTCTCCTGGTTTAATCAGGAAAACGAGCCAGAAGAGCTGAAATGATTAGCTTGGGATCGTTAGAAGAGGAAAGAATTTATATTCACAGTGACTGTATTTCTAGTCCATTGATTGGGCAATGTTGCTTTTATGAATCAATTGTCATGATTGCTATGCTGAATAAAATGTGGAATCGCTATCACAAAGAAAACATAAATTATTTAGTTTTAAAATACATACTATCTATGCATGGACCTAAATAGTCAATGGAATATTTCTATTTCCTCTTCCTGATTTTTATTTAGGTTTTCTCAAGGGGCACTCACATAGGTCCCTCAGTTCTACTGTGGCAGGTAGCAGTGTGATTCAACAACATGCAATGTCCTGCCATGTGACATTATTAATTAACTCTCATTGACAGCCCCGTTATACATGCAGGTTGATTATTCAAATTCAATACAGTGTGGTTTAGGGGAAACATGAGAGACCACACATACCTTGAATCTGGGGCTCCAATTCCGAAGGCAAGGTGATTTCTAGAAATATGTATGATCACCTTTGGAGAGTCTAGTAACAAATGCACCAGCAAACTCATCTCTATTAATGTGTTAATTTTTTTTCCTTAGGGTATATAAAGGTCATTTCATAAATTGCACATTTCACACTGATTAATCTTCATGGATTATCTCTTGCTATAGCAAATATGATAATGTCCAACAATTGCAATTAATAATCATGGAACTTTATTTCATGAGAGGATGTTTTGAAAGCCAAATAATCACTGTTAAGAGGATAGCAGAAAATTGGATAGAGCAGAATAGAAGTGGAAGAAAGAGGAGCGAATAGAGAAACACATAGAAATGGATGTAGTGCTTAGGATACTCAAACATTGAAAGCTCTGGGTTTAGGAATTAAAAACAAAGGAGGTATTTGGCTTAACCACTATGGGATTTTTCTTTTTCTTTTTTTTTTTTTTGAGACAGTCTCACCCTGTTGCCCAGGCTGGAGTGCAGTGGCACAATCTCGGCTCACTGCAACCTCCACCTCCCAGGTTCAAGCGATTCTCCTGCCTCAGCCTCCTGAGTAGCTGGGATTACAGGCACATGCCATGATGCCCAGCTAATTTTTTGTATCTTTAGTAGAGACGGAGTTTTACCATGTTGACCGGGCTGGTCTCGAACTTCTGACCTCGTGATCTGCTCGCCCTTGGCCTCCCAAAGTGCTCGGATTACAGGCGTGAACCCCACGCCCAGCCACTGCTATGGGATTTTAAGGATTCTAGATATAAAATATTTCATGGATTAAGTCATTTGACAAACATTTATTGTGTGCCTCCTACGTGTGTGGTACTGGAGATTTTAGATTGTTATTATGATCCAACAGTCTTATAGCCTACAGCAAAAGGACTGGAGAGAGAGAGAGAGATTTGATTAACACGAAGGAAAAGGAGAAAGAGAAGGAGAAAGAAAAAGCAGAAATGAAAGTAGCAGCAGCAGCCAATGTCAACAAAATCCCCATTGCAAGCCCTCATTTTTCCCAAGCAAAATATGTATAATGTTTGTGAACTAACACTTTCCCCAATTTTCTTCAGCAAAGGTTAGTCAATCATGAACCCAAGCATAATAATATGTAAGTTCTTCTCTCCAGCAGGTACCGCGAGAAACACAAGTTAAGATTCACATTCTGTTCCCAAAGAACTTATGAGCCTATTTGGCAATTTCAAGCTAATGCACACTCAATTATGAACCCAGTGTAAGATAGTACGCATGCAGGTGTGGAGCGGTAGGATTTGGATTAGGGGTGCATGGTGGTTACAGAGGGGAGTGAAAGGGAAAAGGAAGTTTTCATGGAGAAGACAGACTCAAGTGAGACCTGAGAGGAGGGACATGAGCGGTGGGACAAAGAGACAGAAATTAGCATCCTATATTTTGGGAAGCATGAAGGACTGTCTACGTGATGGGAAGTAAATAGGATAAGATGAAACTTCCAGGGGCCCAGAAACTCATGCACAGGGAGGGGCCAAGAATTCAGTGTGGCCCATGATGACAGTGGCAAGTCAGGCAGCTGACCCTGGAACAAGGCGGGGATAGGATTAAGGCTGCCAACAGGCCAGTAAGATAACCCAATTCTGAGCAACTGGACCAGGATGGCAGCAGAGAAGGAGCAGATGAGACATTTCAAAGAAGGGGCTGATACGACTCAGAATCTGACCTGTTTAAGGGCATGGACAAGAAGGGGGCTTCAACGATGACTCCAAGGTTGCAAATGTGGGTCGTTTATGAGAATGGAAGCACCACCCAATCTTGGAAGAAGTCTAAATGCCTAGATGAGCATATAAGAATGACTTTCTGTTATGCCGGGACATGCCGCAAGGCAGAAGAAGATCTTCCTCTCCTCCCCCTACCTCCAGAGTTGGCCAAGAGTGGTAGTGGGTGATGTTAAAGAACATCAGACAGGAAACGGACCAGGTTGCCGAGGGTCCAGGTCGGGCTGAGCAGAGCTGGGGCCGAGGAGTTCTGGGTCAGGGAGACTGAGAGTCCAGACTGGAGGACGAAGATGAACACAGCAACTAAGCAGAGTAGATTTCATGGTCAGCAGCCCAAACAGAAGTTTCCTTGGTGCTCAGGATGTGTGTGTAGAGAAGTCTTTTGGTTATGTAGTCTGTAGATCCGTTTTTGTATTTGTGCTGTCCAAGCAGTGCTTTTCCATTCATTCCCCCACTGACTCATGCATTCGACACGCGTGATTTATCATTCACATGCACCAGGCACTATGCTGGGTGCCAGGGCAAAAAGAAAGAAGCCAGGCCCTCAAGAAGCTCCCAGCCTACACAGGAGGGCACAGATACGCAGACTTTCAGAACTCAAGACAGAAGCAGTAAGTCCAAGAAAACTATCTGAAATAACCACTTGGGATATTTTCTCAGAAATTAACCAAAGGGATGTTGTGTTGAACTGGGATTGAAGAGGGTCAAGATCTCAGAGCTCTTCCCTTGGGAATTCTCAGCAGGAGGAGCAAAAGCAGAGGGTGGCAGGATTGAGGGTTAGAAACATGTGTCAGTGTATCCGAGAATCCAGGGCTGTTGTCACAGCAGTTTGAGGAGGCTGAGCAGACCGTACAAGAATCTGGTGTGGCCTCTGAGAGGCTAAGATACAGAGCACAGGCTTTTTGAATTGAAGGGTAAAACTGAGCAAATGAGAACTGACTCATTTTTATTTTCACCAATCAGGACCCTTTTAAATCCTATTTCATGGGTATATAGTAATGTCACGAAATGCAGATTTTATTTTCATCAATTGATGCCATAGAGAGAGAGGACTCCAGAGAGTAAGCTCACATCTCCCCGCAGAGGTTCCTGGCTGCGGGCCAGATACCATTCTTTTAAGCACCAAGCATCAATTAAAGGCAAGCTCTCCAGCAATTCTGCTTCCTGCGGACAGATTGGGTCCAAGGAGAAAGCAAGGAAGACCCTGAGAGAAGAACTTTCCCTGGTGGTGGAGACTTGAACTCCATTCAGCAGCTTAGATGTCCCCCCTGTCTCTCCAGCATGACTGCCAGGCTCTTACCAGCTTGGAAAGGAGCCAGGAGATGGGAGCCCCCTCCTCTAGGGCCAGTCCTTAGGTCTATAATAACACTGTGACATTTCATCCCTGACACTTCTGCCTGACTTCACCTCTACCCCCACCCAGAGATATCCCTGAGTCCTAGATGCATGGCTGCAGGCTTAGGGAGAGGTGCAGGAAAAGGAATGAAGCTTAGCAAAGTTGCTAACAGCCCAGGTTTGGGCATTAAAAAAAAAAAATGGATTTGAATTATGTGTCCACAACGTGATTCACTATTTAATCCTGAACAAATTAGTTTCTGAGTCTCTGTTCCCTTTGTAGACTGGGCATAAGCTAGTACCAGTCTCATAAGGACTTTGTACATATTGAATGAGATGAGCTATGTAAAGTGTGTTGTACTGTGTCTGCTGCCTAGGAAATGCTCACTGCACGATCCCTGGTATTACTAAGAATGTAGCTCTCCATGTTCCGTGTGAGTTCGAGGACTAAGCAGCGTTGCCTATACCCTTCTTTCCTTCTCTCCCCTGGCAACTCAACTCAAATACCTGCTGCTGAAATGGTAACTTCATTAATAGGTCGAATGATCTATGAAGAACCTCTACTGTACAGAATAGTTTTCACTTTGCTGCCTTGTCTTCCTGCTAATTTTCTGGTTAATCTGGCAATTTGAACAAGAATATACTCCCTCCTTCCCCCACCCTCCAACGGCGCACACGCGCACGCACACAAACACACACACACACACACACACACACACTGGAAGATGGATGTGTGGGCAGCTGGAGAGGTGGGGTCATGGCAGACCAGAGGTCAGTGCTGCCCTGTAGGAGAGCCCACAGAAGAAAGAGGCCCTTTGCCAAAGGAGATTTTTATTTTACTGTCTCCAAAAGGTAAGAGAACCCTTCCAATAATTTTTTTTTCTTTTTGCTTACAGTCTCACAATTTAAACATAGGACACTGAATGGTCAGAACCTTGGCCCACCCCCGAGTGCCCGGGACCTGTTGCCAGAACCAGGAGTTTGAGCTCCTGCCCAGTAGGCTTGTAACCTGAACTTTCTGTTTCTAAACTCCCAGTTCTTAGTAGCCGGCGCAAATTCTGGGCCACAAAATTCTGAGAATTATTGCACTTGTCAGTTGCTAAGTCACATGCCCTTCAGCCTGGTCCCTGCTAGTGGGATGATAGTACTTCTGTTAAAGCCTATGAATTTCACTGTCACATAAAAATGGGCATCCCTAATAATACCATCCAAGGCTTGCCATAATCACCCAGAAATATACCATCAGGCCTGTCATAATTAATCAATTTTCAGGATCCCCCAGGGTCTCCAAATACAATGACTGGTAGCAAATTAATAGAGACTTTGGATCATCCCATTTAACTTCATCAGGAAACTGACCCCATGATGAAAATTTAGTTTAATTAGGATAATAGCTCATATTTAAAGAGTGCCTCAAAGCGAAAGAAGCCCACAGATTTTTGTCTCTTAATTTTCAAAGCAGTGCCACATATCACTTAGAGCCAACTTCTAGGGAACAGGCACATTTATCCCCATTTTATGGATGAGAAAACCTTGCTGCATGTGAACAAGAACAAGGACTACAGAGCTAGGGGCTGAGAGCATGAGCCCGGCGATCCAGATCACACTGGATTTGCTTAGTGTATGTCTGTGAACTATGAGCAGCACAAAAATATATACGGACTGACATTTTTGAGCATATATTTAATGAATAGGGTATCCTGTGTACATGGCAAAGCCATAAATAGATATCGGTAGTGGAATGTTGGAGTGGACAAATATAGAATATAGCTTGTGCTCAGCAATGCTAGACGCCCCCACAGAGCCCCATGCTGGTCTGTTTGGAAGCTTTTTTTTTTTGAGGTTCAGTTGCATGATAGTACAAAGAGCCTTCTGTTATGGTCTCAACACTACTATTTATACCCTGTGACCCATTAAGCACTGATTCCTTGGTTGGGGTTCGCCCAACATCTCAAGAGAAAAAAAAAAAGAGGGAAAAAATAGCCTGACTGGAAAAAAAAAAAAGTAGTTCTCATTTACAATACTTGAGTCAAGAATTTGGAAACATGACCCCAGCCAAAGCTTTCCGAGCCATCGTATCAAATGTTGTTATTTTTGGGTAGCTCGAAAATAAGGCTGGTTGAGGAGCGGATAAGGAGCCTCAGTGGCTGTGGCAGGAAGGGGGTGGGACCGGTGAGGGAGGACAGGGAGGGGGTCTGTTGGAGAGGGGCCCGCCTGGGCCTGGGGATGTCAGCTGCTGGGCTGGCCCCAGAGCCTCCTGGGGAGGAATGGGAGAACTTCACCTGTGGGTGGATGTGAGATGTCACCTTGGCCCTCTAGGTTTCCCAGAGGTACCTTGGCACTGTTGCCCTTCCAAGTACCTGGGGTAAAACATTCAGTTAAGTTCAACCTTCCTGCCCCCAGTTTGTTTTTATTTCAATAGACAACATTGTCCATGATAGTGAATTGCCTCTCCCTGTTTGGGAAAGTTGCCTGCCCGTGATATTTTTATGCTCTGTCTGCAGTGGGTGAAAGGGAATCCTGGCTTAAGATATCACCGGTAGGGTAATGCACTCCTCCAGCCCCACAAAGTTGTGACCACGTCAGAACTGAGACACTGCCCATCTTTGGAAATACAACTCACTCGCTCTGTTCTCCCTTCCATCTCAATGTGTTCAAACACACTCATGTGTGCACTCACACATACACACACACGCATGCATGCACACGCATGCACACACGTACGCACAAACACACTGGGCTCAGAGGCCAGATGGCTATCTGCTGTGTCATGGACTTTTAATACATATTCGAGAATTATTCTGGAGGAGCATGAGGGAAAACTAAGATATCAAATAAACTTTCCAGAGAATACAGAGACAGGAAGCCTAAACTCGATTCTTGCATTATTCACATGCCCTCAGAGTTACCTTAGATGAAAAAGTCTTTAAAATATTTAGACTCAATTCCTCTTTGTAAAAAAAAAATCAATGTCTAACTGCCTATGAACTCTGCAAAATATGAGATTGTCTATTCTTGGCACAAGTTTCAGGTTTTTGTGCCTCGCAGACTTTGCTTCTAACTGACCCGGCCACACGGGCCTCTGGGCATCCACCGAGTCTTGCCGTAGAAATTCCACCTGTCCTGTAATCAGCACGAATACTAAATTCTTCATCCAGCTTTCTGCAGGCCCCCAAGTGCAGACAGACAGTCTCCCACCTCTAGACACTCACTGTGCCTTTTGCTACTTAGCACATTCATGCTTTTCACCTTTTAAAGGGTGTGTTTCCCATCCTTATAAGAGACGATGAAATCCCAAAAGACAAAAACTATTCTGTCCACCGCTGATGTCTCTCAGGTTGTTCCCACAGTCCCTTGTCTTGATTGGCATTTGCATTATGTGGGCCAGTCCCAGTGCCAGCCAGGACCGTGGTCATTTTAAAAGAAGCTGCCCCACTCATGGGTTCAGCTGAGAGGAGCCCAACCTGCTCCAATGGGCAATAAACAAAGACCACGAGTGGGATGAAACCAGGATGGAGGCTCACAACATAGCATGGGAGCACAAAATACAGCATCTCACCTAATTGAGAGGGAGTCACAAGAGGCCTTGCTGAGTAAATAAATGTTTGAGTTGGGACTGGAGGGTGAGGAGGAGTGATATGGTTTGGCTGTGTCCCCACCCAAATCTCATCTTGAATTGTAGCTCCCATAATCCCCTTGTGTCGTGGGAGGGACCCAGTGGGAGTTAATTGAATCATGGGGGCAGGTTCTTCCCATGTTGTTCTCATGATAGTGAATAAGTCTCACGAGAAGTGATGGTTTTATAAAAGGGAGTTCCCATGCACATGCTCTCTTGCCTGTCACCATGTAAAACGTGACTTTGCTCCTCATTCACCTTCCACCATAATTGTGAGGCCTCCCCAGCCATGTGGAACTGTGAGTCCATTAAACCTCCTTTCTTTATACATTACCCAGTCTTGGGTATGTCTTTATTACCAGTGTGAGAACAGACTAATACAGGGAGTTAACTGGTCAACCAAATGATTGGCAGAGGTATGCAGGCAGAGAGAGGATCTGCTCCAAGCCAGACACACACTCTAGAAAGGAAAACAAATGCGTTAGATTGGGTAAGAGAAAATAAAGGAAGTTGGTAAGAGATGGATTGGGAAAGGAGCAATCCTAAATTTTGGATGTTCTTATCAGCCAAATTAAGGAGTTTCACTCTAATTTAAGAACAATGGAAAACTATTGTTTTAAGTAGAAGGGAGAGTCTAGGTTGCTTGTGTCCAAAGTAATGTAATTAACATTGTGCTCCATAGTGTTTGTAAATGGATAAATGAATATTTATCATCAGATAACCATAGCAGAAGACCCTGGTAACTCCTGCTCCAATGTGTTAGTTTATGTTACATTTTTCCATTTGAGAATCTTCCAAAATGTGTCAGTGTAAACAAAAGTTATCTTTCTGTCAAGAACTTAATTCCTCATCAAGATAGGTATAGTATGAATGGACAAGCATATTCACTTGTACCTGAAGAACCATGAGTTGCCCACCCTCTTAAAAAGTATCTTTCTCATTTCCCTTTGATAGATAAACTTGGCTCTTTTCATTAGCCTTCTAGAACTTTGAGTAGAGCCATGAATCTATAATCTCTGGTACAGAATGATCAAACATTTTTCAATACATACTAGAAAAGATATCATGAGTTTAATCTACAGCCATTTTTAGCAAGTAATATGGTTTTCTGCCTTCATAATGGGAAGTGTGGGTCTCAGGTCACATGTATAGTGAAGGTTGACTAACAGCCATATTCCTCAGAGAGCATGTAGTTTGTCCTCCTAGTGGTACTAGGTGTATTGCAATTTTATGTCAACACAATTTTCAGGAGATTTTATCTCCTTGCCCCAGATACTTCTTCTCCAATACCAGTTTGTCCCATTTTCCTAGGAATTTTGTCTTGCATTTGGCTCTTTTGATGGATTCTTGATGGTCTGTGTATAGTTTGAATAGTACAACTCTTAAGACACAAGATATTGGCCAGATGCGGTGGCTGACACCTGTAATCCCAATACTTTGGGAGGCCAAGGTAGGAGGATTGCTTAAGGCAAGACATTCAAGACCAATCTGGGCAACATAGGGGGAAACCCTGTCTCTACAAAAAATAAAAACAATAGGAAGGAATGGTGGCACATACCTGTAGTCCCAGCTACTTGGGAGGCTTGCTTGAGTCCCGGGGTTGGAGGATGCAGTGAGCCATGACCGTACCACTGCATTCCAACCTCGGTAATGTTTGCGTTTAGAGACCCTGTCTCTAAACAACAACAAAAAGAGATATGAGATATTGGTACCTTATAAATTGTTTCTTCATAGACCATAGGAGAAAAGAAACTTACTAGTTTTATTTCCATCTAGAATAATTATACTGGAACTGTATCTGCACATGCAAAAAAAAAAGCCTTTATGTTGTTGGTACATGTGAATTACTATGGAAGGAAGACATATAAATCTTCATCTATGCCTCTCCCTCCTGATAACGTCTAGCGTCAAGAGTTGGTTTCTGCCCAATGCAGCAGAAAGTCAGATGGCTGAAAGGAAGGAAAGATCACAGGTACTCTCTACAGGACCTGTGTGATGACGAGATCTGCTTAAGGCTGTGTCTGGAGATTCTGGAGACTCGGGGGAGGCTGTAGGTCTTAGCCTCTAACTCCTGATTTGGAAACACCTTTCCACTACTTGATGCCAGTAAGGTCTGGGACAACCCCCAGGAGGTGTCTAGCCTAACTCTAAAATCTTTTTTATTCCTGAAGCATCCTTTCTGAAATGTGCATTGTTTCCAATTTAATTGATCTAGGTAGAAGAAGGCTTACCCTAGCAAAAATAAGACTTATTTCTTCTAAAAAGAAAAAAGTTGTATGCAACTCCCAAGAACGCTTCGTTCTGCAGCATTGGGAGAGAGAGGTGGAAGTCACTCGTGTCCCTGCCCCCTCACAGTCCCCCTGCCCACGTGCTCCTGGGCCCTGGAAGGACTCTTTGTGCTGAGCGGCACATTATACGGGTTCAGGAGGCACAGCACAGGGAGCCATTGGGTTTTTGAGCCAGAGAGGAAGGTGTATTCCTCAGACGCAGCCACCAGGAGGGCATTTCTGCCACCGTTGTTTTCTCAGGTCCAGGTACATCACTATCATATGGATGCATTCATCCCACACTCCTCCTCTTTTCTGTCTGTTCCTCCACAGAAGCTAATATCCCTTTCCTCTTTCCCCTGATCTCCGTCCCTGTCCCTGTTGTCCCGCTCCACAGATACCCACAGATGAGGGGTCCGGATGGAGGACTTTCCAAACCCACAGGCAATCACTGTCCTTGTGACCTAGCCTGTGATTCCTGTAAGAGTCACCTACAATTCCAGGTGATATTTGTAAAATATAAGCTAAAATTGTTCATGCAAGCCAAATAATAATGCCAGCCCAAGGTCTTATCATAACTGCACTCAGAAGAAATTAGGCTTGCCCTTGTAGAGTCCTATAGGCCAGTGCATCTCAAACTTTTAGGAGCCTGTGGAAATCCAGATTCCAAGTCAGCAGGTCCAGGGTGGGGCCTGAGAGTCTGTGTTTTCAACAAGCTTCTGGGCCACGCTGGTGCTGCTGGTCTGAGCACTACCCTTTCAGTGGGAAGGTATAGATCTCTAGCTCCTGGGAAGCCTGTGTCAGATCTGATTTGACCCTATTTGCTCAGTGCTTGGCACTGTACCTGGCACTGTACCGTGTGTGTGTGTGTGTGTGTTGGGGTGGGGGTGTTTGGAAGGAAGGGAGAAAGGAAGAAAAGAAAGAGAGGTGAAAAGAGAGAGAGAAGGTATAAGTTTTCCATTGAGTAAATCTTTTCTGTTCTTGACATTTACCACCTATTAAAAACCAAGACAGGCACAGGTGAGGCAGAGGTGCAGTAAGGCTAGTGGAAGCTTCTTAAAAGATAATGTCTTCCCAGCATATTTGTAGATGTGTCTGTGGCCCTCAAGGCTTGCTTCCGAATTGGCATGTCCCTGTGAGGATGCCAGCGTTCTCTCAAAGATGGGGGAGCTGTGGCGTACTCACAGGCACTGGTCACTGAAGAAAGGACACATTCAAATCATAGGCTGCTTTTATCTCGAGCTCACTGACCAAGTGGCTCCAGGTCCAGGGAACATTTGAGGAACAACACTTTCTTTAGGAAGTGGTAAGACTTTTCCGTTTGCAGAATTTGTATGAAAGCCTAAAGACTCTCAGATATTTACATCTCTGCTCCTCCTAATGTATAAGACAAGGCTAAAATGCTTGATCTACAAAATGCATCTTGCCAACAGCCAGCAATGGAGACTCTCCTCTGCCATGGTAGCTTTTCTTTTTTTTTTCTTTTTTTTTTTTTGAGATGGAATCTCGCTCTGTCGCCCAGCCTGGAGTGCAGTGGCATGATCTTCACTCACTGCAACCTCCTGGGTTCAAGCGATTCTCCTGCCTCAGCCTCCTAAGTGGCTGGGATTAAAGGCGTGTGCCACCACGCCTGGCTAATTTTTGTATTTTTAGTAGAGACGGGGTTTCACCATGTTGGTCAGACTGGTCTCGAGCTCCTCACCTCGTGATCTGCCCACCTCGGCCTCCCAAAGTGCTGGGATTACAGGCATGAACCACCGCACCTGGCTGCTTTCCTCTTAAAGACTGCACAGACCCAGGAAGGTAGTGGGGGAATAGGTGTGTTATATAAACAATTAGGTGGTATGCCTGTTCGCAAATTATGTGAACTTGTGCTAAAATTCATCATTATTGTTTTCAGAAAAAAATGCATTCTAAATAAATCGTATATTTTTATTATAAAATGAACCTGGCTGGGCATAGTGGTGCATGCATAGTCCTAGCTATTCAGGAGGCTGAGGCGGGAGGATTGCTTGAGCTTGTTCAGGGTTACAGTGAGCTGTGATTGCACCACTGCACTCCAGCCTGGACAACAGAGTGAGACCCTGACCCTGTTTCTAAAAAAAGAAAAAAAAAGAAATAAAAAGAAATTAATCTAATCCGAAACCATTTTAAAAATAGAAAAAAAACTAAAACAAAAAGGGAAAAAAGTCATTCCAATACATTAATATTTACTATGTTAAACACAGCTTCTAAGAACATTTAGCTATATTTTCTTCGTCTTTTTTTCTGTGTGTTTTTTCATGTGTATACTAATTTTTACATAATCATGACATGTGATATGTGTAATTTTATATGGTACTTTTAAAATTTAACATTGTATCTGTCAGAAGTATTTCCCATCTGTCATAAGTATTTACGATACCTTCATAACCATCATTTTCACTTCCTTCGTGATTGTCCATTCAATGGCTGTCTCAAAGTTTATTAACTGAGTCACTAATGCAGTTGTGTATTAGGTCTTTAAGTTGTTTTGAAGGTTTTACAAATATAATTGTGCAAAAAATGTAATTTTGGAGGTGCCTGTTTATACATGCATATAGAGATTTAGATTATCCTAACCAGCTTGAAATCCAAAACAGATATATTGATCCAGATTTTTAAAACAGATGTGTAACAGGCAACATAATAAAAGCATTCAACAAAATGGTCTCTATGAAACAAACAGGGAATAGACAAAGTTGAGGCTCCTCAGCCTCTGCTAAGGAGAGAGGATGAAGTGGCCAGGGCCCAGGCTGCAGAGGGATTTGAGGTTCAAGAGGCCAGGGGAGTGACCACCCACCACACTTGGCAACCAGTTGACCCATGACTTCTCCCTGTGTGCCAGCCTCCTTATGGAAACTGGGTAGCAGTACCTACCTCGAAGGGTGTAGCAAGGGTGAATGAAATACACAAAAGCACTTGGGACAATGCCTGTCCCAGTGTGAGCTCTCAATAAAAGTTAGAAAACACAGCCGGGCACGGTGGCTCATGCCTGTAATCCCAGCACTTTGGGAGGCCAAGGCGGGCGGATCACCTGAGGTCAGGAGTTCAAGACCAGCCTGGCCAACATGGCGAAACTCTGTCTTTACTGAAATACAAAAATTAGCCTGGCATGATGGCAGGTGCCTGTAATCATAGCTACTTGGGAGGCTGAGATGGGAGAATCGCTTGAACCTGGGAGATGGTGGTTGCCGTGAGCCGAGATCCCACCACTGCACTCTAGCCTGGGCGGCTAAGCAACTCCGTCTCAGAAAAAAAAAAAAAAAGTTAGAAAACACCATGGTGGGCAGGCGTGGTGGCTCATGCCTGTAATCCCAGCACTTTGGGAGGCCGAGGCCGGTGGATCATGAAGTCAAGAGATTGAGACCATCCTGGCCAACATGGTGAAACCCCGTCTCTACGAAAAATACAAAAATTAGCTGGGCGTGGTGGCATGTGCCTGTAATCCCAGCTACTCAGGAGCCTGAGGCAGAAGAATTGCTTGAACCTGGGAGGCAGAGGCTGCGGTGAGCCAAGATCATACCACTGCACTCCAGCCTGGTGACAGAGCGAGACTCCATCTCAAAAAAAAAAAAAAAAAAGAAAAGAAAACACCATGGATCATGGTGTGGCCAGGTGCAGTGGCTCACACCTGTAATCCCAGCACTTTGGGAGGCCAAGGCAGCTGGATCACTTGAGGTCAGGAGTTCAAGACCAGCCTGGCCAACATGGTGAAAACCCATCTTTACTAAAAATACAAAAAAATATAGCCAGGCATGGTGGCAGGTGCCTGTAATCCCAGCTACTTGGGAGGCTGAGGCAGGAGAATTGCTTGAACCTGGGAGGCAGAGATTGCAGGGAGCCAAGGTCATGCCACTGCACTCCAGCCTGGGTGATGAAGCAAGATTCCATCTCAAAAACTAAAAAAACAAAAAGGAGGAAAACACCATGGTGCCACCATTCACAGTGGTCAGGGAAGCTGCTCCCGCCTTTATATGTGGGGGCCTGGGGCACAGATGCTATGTGTGTAGATATTAAAAAATAAACAAAGAAAATAAACTGCTAAGTATGTTCCATCCTTCCATCTTGACAAATATTCTTTTATCACAAAAGGTACAAAATATGTGTAAAGCTGTGATATAATGGATGTAAAATATGACAAGAATTAGCAAAATCTCAAGGAGAAAAGAGTCTGATCATTTGTGAGCCTGTCTGGGATGTTATTCAGCTAGCAATGTCTGGATGAGTAATAAGAATAAACACATATAAATTCATTAAATCTCATATATTTATTAATACAATTTATTTTCTTGCCTTCCTTTCAGAAAAATCATGGATTATATTCTTATAATCAAAATTTTCACACAATCTGTGTTCCATTGATAGCAATAATTTAACAGATTGAAAATAAATGTAATTATATTAAAATATACACAATTTGAGTGCATTTTCATCAATATGTAAATCAATGTTAATATAAAAAACTAAAGATTTAATTATTTTGGATGTTTCAAAATGTTCTTTTTCCTCTCAAATATTCAAAATTATCCATTATAACCAAAATGCAAATTAATAAGTATCAAAAATTAAAATAAAATTATTTAAACAGATCTGAAGAGTTTTTAATCTTTAAATGATTTAATTACATTTTATTGCATATTTTTATGAAAAGAAAACGATTTGTAATTCTAGCAAAGACCATTTAGTTGCTAATGTAAAGAACTGGTTTTGTACTTCACACATATTACATCTACAACTATATTTATATATAAAGGTAAGAGAAATAGGAGTTATGTACTATTACAAAATGTTAGCCACAGTGTGTGTGAACTGTTGCATCTACTGTGTGCAATATTTTAGTACCTCTGGAATCCTGAATTGGAATGGGAAGAGAAGTGAGAAAATGAACTCTTGGCTCTGTTGGGAAATAGTTCTTTATTATGCAAGAATCTGTCACATCCTTGCTGTATGATAGGAAGAATCTCACAAGGTAGTGAGTTTGTCTTCTCTTATCAGCACTTCTGATGCTCACATCCTCTCCACACTCTGAAGTGGTGTGCATTTCTGAAGTCAACAGCAGGTTGCACAGACACCTCAGTACTTGGATACAGTTGCCTTTTATTGCAAAGGCAAGATGCAAGGACAGGCAGTGTGAGGAAACGTCCCTGGGGCCTGAGCAGCATTGCCCAAAAGAGTGGATGTTGAGATTGCAGCTTGCTGTGGCTGCACTGAACGCTGGGGCTCAAGTGATGGGGTGTCTGTGTGCACTTTAGTAAGTGTATGTGTGTATGCCTGTGTGATGTCTAGGGGCTATTTAAAGTGTGAGAACTGGCTCATGGCCTCCCTTGCCCTGAAGGCAACACTACAGAAAATAAACAAGTGTTACTATGGACAAATATTTATTGGGATTATTTTTTCTGCAGTTCACAAATCCTTCTTACAAATATCATTATCCAGATTTTTTTCTCTTGTTGACTTTGAATCTATTCTGAGTGTTTCTCAGTACTTTACCCATCTTAAATGACTTGACTTTTAAACATTGAGCCTATGTCAGTTTTGACATCCATTTGTTACAGAAAATAGAAGGAGAGGGATCCCTCCTTTCTCATCACCAGGGCCAATTCCAAATTTGACAGCCCATCCTAAAACAGGGCTGCATATCTGGAGAGAAGTCTCATGATACAGAACAGAGGGGCAAAAGCCCAGAGGAGGAGAAATAGGTTGAAATGCAACTCAGAGTCCCCGCTGCGTTCATTAAGAATCTCTTTGAATCACGATGCTTTTTTCATGATCTCTGAAGCTGCTGAGTTTTGCTTCCTACCAGAAGCCTCCAGCCGTTTGTCAGGGACAAGACTCCAAGAAAATAAGGGGAAAGTGTGGTTGAATAGGAGGCAGTTGTTTCTGCAGCCTAGGCGGTGGTATAATGATATCATTGTCTGCAGGTCTGGGACTCTGGGCCCTGGGGCAGAGGCAGGGCGGCAACCTGAGCTGCCTGGCAGAGATGTCAGAATCCGCAGAGGTGAGCCCACCAGCCAGTAGTGGCCATTTGTCCAGTTGTCTATGAAAGAGTATCAGGTAATGCACTAACCCTGAATTCTTCCAGTAAACTCACCACCTTTTTCTCTAGAAGTTTTTTATATTGCTGATCTTTGATTTCTAGATAGACTACACCAGTTTTTTGTTTGTTTGTTTGTTTGTTGTTTTTTTTTTAGACAGAGTCTCACTCTGTTGCTCAGGTGTTGCTCAGGCTGGAGTGCAGAGGCATGAGCCCAGCTCACTGCAACCTCCACCTTCCGGGTTCAAGTGATTCTCCTGCCTCAGCCTCCCGAGTAGCTGGGACTACAGGCATGCACCACCACACCTGGCCTGTATTTTTAGTAGAGACGGGGGTTGGCCATGTTGGCCGGGCTGGTCTTCAACTGCTGACCTCGTGATCTGCCCGCCACAGCCTCCCAAAGTGCTGGGATTACAGGCGTGAGCCGCCGCGCCCGGCCAGCTTACACTGTATTTTTAAAAGTCCTCTCTCTACCCTGGATTTAGTCCATTGTTTAAATGTCATTATTTCAAAATCATAATTTTCCTTCTTAATGGGTTAAGGCAGTGACTTCATTTGCAGTCTACCTTAGGTTATAAATTCTCCCTCTCCAAAGCACGTTTTAGGGTTGGGTCTCAATATACTGTCTGTTGCTTTATATATATTATGATTAAATAACTACTTTCTATAACATCAATATATATTTATTTCAGGAATATAAAGATTGGTGGGAAGGCAGGGAGAAGGGAAAGAGAATAAATCTGTGGTCTAACTGGGAGATGATAAATCACTTCCACAAGTCTTTCTGGAGAGCCCACTACGTATTTGATGCTGTTGCGGTGCTGGGGTCAGGGGTGTGACTTCTACCCAGCTGCTCATAATCTAGGAGGGAAGGCAAACCAAGCTCACAGATAATTGTCATTTAAGGGAGACTAAGGTGAAGTTATTAAACAAATACAGTCCAAACACTGTTTACAGCTATTTGTACGGATCAAGCAACATTTCCTGGCAAAAGTGTTTGAAGAGAAGTGAATGAGCATGGTCCCAGAGGCCAGAAAACACAGAGGGCCAAGAAGCAGCCCACTTTGATCTCAGCCACATTGGATAGGGCTTGGGAGGCGAGGCTGAGACATGTGCATTTCATTTGGTAGGCAGTGGGGAGCATGCAGTTTTTAAGCAGGGAGAGGATATGATAAGAGCTTCATTTAGGAAGATAAATCTGGCAGCAATGTGTATGACAGATTAAAGTCAAAGAGGTAGGAGATAAAGAGGCCTGTCAGAAGTTATTACAGCATCTTTGCATGGAAGAAATGAGGGTCTGAGCTGAGAGGAAAAAAACAGGACAGTGAGCCAAGGCCTCCTGGGTTTACTTGTAGAGATATACCCTGTCAAGACCGAATGATGCTCCTATTCCTGCCTGTGTCTGCTTGTGTGTTTCGCATGCGTACATTTCAAGCATGTCTTTTGCCCATTATGCCTGGCCCATGTAAATAACGTGGTCAGCAGGTCTTGGGTCCCAGGTTAGGTCACTCATAGGCATTGCTGGGGTAGTAGGATGGTCAAGTGAAGGCTTGGACTAGAAATACAGCCCTGTTGTTGGCTGAAGGTATAGGTGAATCCCATAACATGGTAATGAACTCCAGAACATTCTAGTGGACTGAAAAGGAAAAAAAAAAGAATACACATATGGCAGTGTCAAAAACCAGGTGGGCAGGAAAACCAAATCCTGGGAAAGGTTTAATACCACATCCTACATGAGGCCTCACTCTGCCAGTCAGGAGGAGGAGGCCATGCTCAGAGATACTGGACACACTTCTGTGTTTTGCTGAATCCCTGGAAATCGGAGTCTGAGGCTGCAGTGTGCAAGCCAAGATGTTTACTGGAGAGTGCTTTGGGGTCAACATCTGCCAGGGGTGAAGGATGCAGAATTGGGGAAAAAGAGAGGTTGAACCATGAAACAGGTGCAACAGAGGCCTCGCCCAATCCCTGGGGAGCTCTGGATTGAGCATGGCCCTTCCCAGTTGGCCCCAATTAGGGCTAGAAGGCAGGGCCTTTGTATCCTGCATTGACCAATTACTGAAGGTGGGGTCCTCCCAGGAAGGGGGAATAACCCCAGCCAGGTGGCTCCCATTAGCCAAGGGCAAGTCCTAGAGAGGGTCTCAGCTGTGAACACTCAGCAGCCAACTCTCCTTTGCAGCGGAGAGAATGAGGGCCCCAGTTCTTTGGAGAGATCTGAGGGCACTGTGGCATCCAAGTACGTCATCTACTTTCTGGGGATGGGCTTTGTCTCTTTTGAGAATCTTGGGAAAGAGGCCAGCAGAGGGAATGTTATTACCTAGAGCGCTGCACTTCTGAAAGCTGAAGGACTGTGCAAAGCCAGCAGTTGGGGGTCGTGGGGTGACAAGGCCAGGGAATCTGAGCTGGACAGCCTAGGGAAAGGTAGCTGAGGGTGGTGGCAGGGGTGAGGGCCTGCAGCCAGGCAGCTTGGTCTTCGGTCTGCCACTTACTAGCAATGTGACCTTGGGCAAATTACTTCATCTCTTTGTCCCTCAGTTTCTTCCTTTGTGAAACATGGACAAAAATAGTTCTTACCTCATAGAATTGTTGTGAGACTAAATGAGATAATGCATGCAAAGTGCTTACTGCTAGCCCATAATAAGTAGGGCCCCATTGAGGGTGGCTGCTAGTATCATTATCTCTATTGTTCAAAATTATAATGAAATAGGTTGCCTAACTCGGAGAAGGGCCTTAGGCAAATACTGGAAGCCAGAGTCCTAATCCAAGAGGTCGGAAAGGTAGGAAAATTGGGGCAAACACAGAAGCAAAAGGTGTGTGTTCGTGCAGAGGAGCCTCAACAAATACCCAAGAGAAGGGCTGATGTCCCATTGACTTTGATGATGTGTTTTCCACCAGATAATATAGCAGAAGCAGCCTCATTTTCAAAAGCCAAGAGGAAAACGGAACACATTCCTGGTGAGAAATTTACTGTGTTCTTTATTTTACTCTATTCCTTTAATTGGATTTAATCACAAACTTCTCCTTCCCACTGAGTTTTCTTTATCTTGGATTCCAAGTCCTGGCTTTGCCACCTACCATCTGTGGGCCTTGGGCAAGTCACATCACTTCTCTGACCCTTGATTTCCTCATCTGTAAAATCAGATGAATAATGCCTGGTCGTATTTGGTGGTTGTGAGATTCCGATGAGAAATTATATTTGGAAATCATTTGCAAACTGTAAGACACAAGACCAATGTTGTTATTATTAGGATTGTTCTGCCGATTGCTTTTGCTTTTCTGGATGTGAGGCTCGTAACCAACAGAGGCTGGAGTGGAAAGCCACAGTAATGAACAAGAAGGCTATGGGAAAACTGGGGTGAAGACGTTCTCCATAGTAGCTTTCCTGTCTGAGTGAGGATTATACTATGTTTTGTCCCTTCATGGATAAAAGGCCTGTTTCATGCCAGACCCAGTTTGAGGCCTTTAAGATCGAGGGAAATATAAGATATCATCCATTCTGTCAAGGTATTCATGACACACCTGTTTGGTTATGTGAATTAAATTCTATTTCCATAGGTAGCAAAAGAGGTCCACAGGTTCACCCACACTCCATCCCCCAGTCCCCAGATTATCTAGATAAAGCCCTCTTGGGAACATGAAGCTCCTGCCAGGTGTCTGTCATCCTGAATTATTGCCATTTGGGTTATGGCAGACATCTCACCTGTGGGGTGGTGATACCCAAGTGTGACACACACTCACACACAGGTTTAACTTCCTAATTAAATTGGAATTGGAGAGTGGAGTCATCTTATGAGCATAAATGTTAACCTTTAATGGATTTTAATTTATCAATCTTTCTTTTATGAGTCATACTTTTTTTTCTGGTCTAGTTAAAAAAAATTGTCTGTTGGCCCGGCGCAGTGGCTCACGCCTGTAATCCCAACACTTTGGGAGGTCGAGGTGGGCAGATCACAAGGTCAAAAGATCGAGACTATCCTGGCCAATGTGGTGAAACCCCATCTCTACTAAAAATACAAAAATTTTAGCTGGGCGTGGTGGCATGCACCTGTAGTCCCAGCTACTTGGGAGGCTGAGGCAAGAGAATCGCTTGAACCTAGAAGACAGAGGTTGCAGTGAGCCAAGATCGTGCCACTGCACTCCAGCCTGGTGACAGAGCAGGACTCCATCTCAAAAAAAAAAAAAAGTCTTTCTTCTGTTCCGTGGTCAAAAAGTTTGAGAGGTTTCCTTCTGAGATTTAAGTCTGAAATCTAATTAGTATTGATGTCTAGGGAGTATGAAGTAGGGATCTAATATCTTTTCCTCCATATGTATATGTATTTTTAACATAAAGGACATTTCCTAAATGATAGGAAATATGAATGTGTTGGGAGAAAGAAAAAAACAAACAGAATTGGGTTAGAGATTATAGGAGGTTAAGAAGACTAGGTCAGTCCTCAGAGTTGATTAGGATGAAACCCTTCAGGCCAAGGGGGTAATGATGTCATTTTCTTACTCCTCTGACCCTCTTGGCATGTGTCGTTTTTATTTTAACTCAGCTTCCATATTGATTGCATGAGTCCATGAGCCAAGCTGGGTCATAGTGGTGAAGAGGAGCAGTTAAGTAATAACCATGCTATCAATTTGTTCATTTGCCTTAAAAATGCCTATTGAGCATCTGGTACTGGTAAATAACAATGGATAAGTGTAATTTCTGCCCTCATGGAACTTGCCCTCTAAATATGAGTACACAAATGCAGTATAGTTTCATAAATAGATGTGATCATCTCATATTCATGAAATTATCATAGTTAACAAAGTTACTCTCATATATGATCCCCGTTTATATGTCTAATTGAGGCTCAGGGACTTGTCCAAGGTAACGCAGCGAATTAGCATAGAGTCAGAATAAGAACCTAGATTTTTCTTTTAGTTCAGGGTTTTCTCAACTATTCTGTTTCCTAGCATAATCTCAATTTGCTGATGGCTTTTATTGTACAATTAAATCTCCTGCTTTATTAAACCTGTCTCTATCTACCAGTCAATCAACCTCTCATTCATCTATCCATTTATCTGTCCATTTATCTATTCATTTTTCTATACATTCATTTATCTCTGTATTATCTGACCATCTACTTCCCTATCTGGGTAGATGGAGTTGGTGGTGAAAAAAGCATTGGAAAAGATTTGAGGCTACCTGAATTCAGCTAGATCCCAGGCTTATTCCTAGCTAGTTGCCTAACATCAAGCCAGTTACCCTGTATATTTGCAAATCAATTTTCACATCTATGAAATGAAGATTTTGGACCAATTTTTTTTTTTTTTTTTTTTTGAGATGGAGTTTCACTCTTGTTGCCCAGGCTGGAGTGCAATGGCATGATCTCGGTTCACCGCAACCTCCGCCTCCTGGGTTCAAGCGATTCTCCTGCCTCAGCCTCCCGAGTAGCTGGGATTACAGGCATGTGCCACCATGCCTGGCTAATTTTTTGTATTTTTAGTAGAGACAGGATTTTTCCATGTTGGTCAGCCTGGTCTGGAACTCCTGACCTCAGGTGATCTACCTGCCTCTGCCTCCCAAAGTGCTGGGATTACAGGCATGAGCCAACATGCCCGGCCATACCAAATTTTTTTTAAAGTGTCGTCTGGGTCTAATATGATGTCTAAGTTCATTTTGTGCTGCTATAACAGAATAACTGAGACTAGATGATTTGACTCATGGTTCTGGGGGTTGGGAAGTCCAAGACTGAAGGGCTGCATCTGGTGGGGTCCTTCTTGCTGTGTCATCCCCTGGTTGAAGGCAAAAAGGCAGAGCGTGTGCATGAGAGAGAGAGAAAGAAGGAAAGGAATCTGAACTCATCCTTTTATCAGGAACCCGGTCCCTCCAAAGTGAACCCACTCCAGCAATAACAGCATTAATTCATTCATGAAGGCAAAGCCCTCACAACCTGATCACCTCCTTAAGGTCTAATCTCTCAACACTATTGCTCTGGGGACTCAGTTTCCAACACATAAACTTTGGGGGACATATTCAAACCATGGTACATGATTTCTTATTAACTTGATTTTTCAAAGTATTGTCTCCGTTAATACTCCTTTAATTCACTAATAGGTAACTTCACATTTGTACACCTGTTGTCTATAGCTAACTCCCAGGCCCCTTCTCTGTTCTATTGATTAGGCTTCTTTGATTGCAATTAAGAAAAACACAATTTAGGCTTGGCGTGGTGGCTCACGCCTGTATTCCCAGCACTTTGGGAGGCAGAGGTGGGTAGATCACTTGAGGTCAGGAGTTCGAGACCAGCCTGGCTAACATGGCAAAACCCCATCTCTACTAAAAATACAAAAATTAGCTGGATGTGGTGGTGCACACCTGTAGTCTCAACTATTCAGGGGGCTGAGGGACAAGAATTGCTTGAACCCTGGGGCGGAGTTTGCAGTGAGCCAAGCTCGTACCACTGCACTCCAGCCTGGGCAGCAGAGCGAGACTCCATCAAGATAAATAAAATAAAATAAAATAAAATAAAATAAAATAAAATAAAATAAAATAAAATAAAATAAACTCACTTATGCAAGCACAAGACTCTAATGGCTTATATAGTTGGAAATACTGGGTTGGTCAGAATTGAAGCAGTAACTAATAGAACCAGGGCCTCTGGACTAGAACTAGGAATTCTAAGTGACCATATCTCATCTCTATCTGTATTTTATGATTTTATGTTTCTCTTTATTTATAGAGCTCATTCTCCTCTACTGCAGAAAGGCTTTGCCCACACAACAGAAATATGGCTCCTGGCCTCTCCAGCTAAGCAACTCCAGTAGAAAAATTCCTTCTCGTGTTGTGTGTACATCAGTACAAAGGGAAGGATTCTGGCCATTCTCCACGTATGATTGGGACATCGGATGATTCTGGAGAGGGTTCCTGTAAGCCACAGCCCCAAAACAAACCCATGGAATAGGGGAAGGAAAGTTCTCCCTCAAAAAGGATGCTGAAGAGCAATAGTTTTTAAAAATATTCTTTACTACCATTAATCAAATAATAAGAGGCTTATGGGCAGAAATATCAGCAGGGGAAAATTAAGGCAGAGTAATTGTTAGGACCACAGAACCTGGAAACAGCTTTCCTGGGTGAATTCCAGCCTCACACTTAAGCTGTGGGACCAAATTACAAGATCTCTTTAAGCCTCACTTATTTCACCTATAAAAAGAGAGACCAATGTTCCCTATGTCAGTAAATTACCATGAGGATTAAATTTATATAAAATGCCAAGCACAAAGTAATGATTATAACGGTTGGCTATTAGCTGCTTCTATCACTATATTGCTGTTAGTATTAAGATCATACAACAGGTACATAGTAAATGCTGGAGTCTGAACTAAAGCAATGCCCCCTGATGCCTGACCTAAAGTACTTCCTACTACAGTGTGAATTAGAGCAGGTGAGCATTGGAGAGCAGCAGGTAAAACAGTAGTGGAGGTGAGTTAAGCAGGATTATGCTGCTGACATTTCTAGATCCTTGCCAGAGGCCAAGTGTCCAGTGACCTCTTCTTTATTTCTTACTTTATAGTTACTATTATCACCCATTTTATAGAATAGGAAACTGAGGCCTAGAATGATTAACTTGCCAGCAGGGGCACCCACCTAGGAGGCAGTGGAAGCTCTCCTTTAGGACCTTGCTGAGGCATTCGCAGAATAAGCAGGTTCCTTAGTGCTCTGGCTAGACAGGATTAACGCTTGTTTCTTTTGTCATTGCACTTGCCTAGTGGGCTGTCCAGCTCATGGTTGGCACTCAGTCTTTTCAAAGAACAAATGTCAACCATGACAATTGATGAGGAAGAAAGCAGAAAAATGTAGAACTCAGACTCCACCAAGATGTATGTTAGTTGGAAGTTATAGATAAGTTTCCCTCAAATATATAACTGTCACTATAGCCACTATTTTATGAATTAGATGCCTCACTTCCAGGCAAACTTGGAACTGATTTTTGTTGCAAGAATGAACTTAGATCTACCTAAGACTTCACCATTCTCATTTTTTACAATTCAGAAATTTCAAAATAATAAGCGTATGCTAGGTCATCTGTAGACCTGTTTCTCTTTGTTACTCAATCCCACAGTCTGACAGTCTGCTCTGAATTTCTGTAGGCTGTATCATTCTGTACCTGCAGGAGAGCGGTGACTCAGCCTGTGGAATAACTCCCTTTCCCTCATTATGACATGTCACCTTTATTTCATTGCTGTGGCATGTTTCTTGCCCTGTGGCTGAAAAACAAGGCAACCCAGTCAGGAAACCAAAGCAGATTCTCTACTTCTGAGTCAAAGCGTGAGGTCTGCCAATCTAGACCTGGAAGACATGCTCTTACACCTTGCCTAATCCTCCAAGGAAGTTGTTTTTCTCTTCTTCAACCCCATCCCTTCCCTCCCACCAAGCCCCTAAGAAGGCATAACCATGGAGCTATTTTTACCTGAAAAATAAATCCAGGGGACGAGATCTTTTAGGTTGCATTTATCAAAACAGTGAATGTTCAGATTGTTGGCTTATTTAAAAATTAAATATTTGTTTCTGCAAGGATTGATTTATCTGGTGTTGGTAGTACTGGGTTACACACTAGGATTCTATGAGTTACACACTAGGATTCTATGACTACATTGCAGCTGGATTGTCAGGCTGTCTGTGGTCATAGAGACAGCCTGGATAATGAATGAATAGAAATGTCAGGGCTTCGAGATTTTCGAGCCCCCTTTCCTTATCTGGAAATGGGGATTAAAAAATAACTCCTTTTTAGGTTTGTTGTAAATGAGAATATATGTAAAGTACATGTAAGAAGATATCTCTTATCTCTATCAAAGTAATCTTTCCTATTGACTTGCTGTGTAACCCTCACCACGATACTGGTTTCTGCCTTAATTGTCCCAAATGATAAAACAGAGATAATTGTATTTGCCTCTAAATCATGTTTTCAAAAACTTGAACTAATGAAAGTATAAATTAGTATAAATTTTCTGGAGGCAATTTAGTTTTATCTATCAAAAAATTATATATGCATGTATGTGTATATATCTCCTTTAATACAATTTTACTTTAGAAATTTGTTATAAGAAACTAATCAGGTATTATTCATAAGTATGTTAATCATGACATTGTTTATAATATGAACAATTACAACAACCTACAAATCCTACAATAGAAGATTGGTTAGGTAAATTATTATACATCATTATATAAAGGAATATCATTTATGTAGTCAGTAAAAATCATGTTGTAGAAGAATATTTATTTTTAGGGCAAATGTGTGTTTTGTAAACAGCAAACAGCCAAAAGGATACACTGGTATTTTTAATAAATAAGAAATGTACATACATACATAGAAAAAAAACACTGGAAGGCACACACTGAAACATTCATCATAATGCTCTTTGGTTGAAATCCAAGTGACTTTTGCTGTCTTCTTTTATGCTTTTCTGTGTTTTACAAGTTTTCTTTATTTCTCTAATTAGAAAAAAAGATCTTAAAATATGCTGTTAGGCAAATCTCCTTTTCAAATGAGCATTATAGTTTAATCCATTATCTCTACCTTTAAAATGCTTTGGAACTACTTAGACAAAACTTTGTAGGCTGGGCGTGGTGGCTCATGCCTGTAATCCCAGCACTTTGGGAGGCCGGGGCGGGCAGATCACAAGGTCAGGAGTTCAAGACCAGCCTGGCTAACATGGTGAAACACCGTCTCTACTAAAATCACAAAAATTAGCTGAGTGTGGTGGCGTGCACCTGTAATCCCAGCTGCTTGGGAAGCTGAGGCAGGAGAATTGCTTGAACCCCAGAGGCGGAGGTTGCAGTGAGCCAAGATTGTGTCATTGCACTCCAGCCTGGGCAACAAGAGCGAAACTCCATCTCAAAAAAAAAAAAAACAACTTTGTAAATGTAGGCATTGAAACAAAGCTGAGAGGAAACAGCTCAAAATGTTGACAATGCTACCTGCATGTCATGGTTCATAGGTGATTTCATGTTTGCATCTTATACTTTGTGTTTTCAAAGTGTCTACACTCTGCATGTATAACTTTTATACAACAGAAAAGTGCTAGTAAAATGTCTGTTGAATAATTATTATTTATAAAGAGCAATATTTTCTGAATGTCTTCTGTGAAAGCCACTTTATTCGGGCTTTTATCTTAGCTGAATTTAGTTTATCTTGCACTCAGTTTAACTGGCTCAAAGAAAGCCCCTGTTTCTCAGTTGCACACTGCCTATTTTGAACAAAACCGAATTTCTTTTTAAAATCTTTCATTCCTACTTAGGGTCATTTTAATTTGCAATACCGAGTTGTTCAAAGCTCAAGCCCCAAGATGCCTGAGGGAACACAGCGCTCAAGCACAGCCAGCCGAACCGGAGGAAGGCCTGAAAACCTTCCAGGCCTGTCTGGCCTCGTGGGATTGTCAGATGGATTCTAGATCAAAGGGGTTTCGGTAAATGCATTAACTCTAGGCTCCTGCTTTCCCCTAAGCCTGGGATCCACTGGATGCTTGCCCATTTGGGCTGAGACCTACGGTGGCTGTTTTTGGAGCAAGGGTGTCTCAAGGTCACATCGAAAGAACTGATTTTTGTGTCTGGTCAAACAACCAGAATGTGTTTACTAACATGAATGAGAATTCCAAGGTCAATTCTGGGTTTCTAGCAAAAGAAAAAAAAAACACTGATATTCAGGATAGGGATAAAGAGTAAACAAAGTGATAGGTCTAGTGCTGAAACTCCCTGTGTGGTAACTACTCTACAGATGCCTCTCTATGACCCCCTTCAATGCATACCCCACCCTCTCGCCAACAAACTGGATCTTATCCTGGACATACAATGGGCAAATAAATTTGGGACCAGATAATGTTTGCCCCCATCTTTTTTCTTTTATTAAAGGACAAGAGTTACTTTTAGTTTTTGAGGAATCTTTATACTATTTTCTTTTTTTTTTGAGACGGAGTCTCACTCTGTCGCCCAAACTGGAATACAGTGGTGCGATCTTGGCTCACCGCAGCCTCTTCCTTCTGGATTCAAGTGGGATTACAGGTGCACGCCACCACGCCTGGCTAATTTTTTTTGTATTTTTAGCAGAGACGAGGTTTCACCATGTTGACCAGGCTGGTCTTGAACTCTAGACCTCAAGCCATCAGCCTCCCTCGGCCTCCCAAAGTGCTGGGAGTACAGCTGTGAGCTACTGTGCCTGGCCTCAGAAGTTACTTTTATATTCGAAAAAGACTCTTACTGACAGATGTGAGCAATGATAATGTGTTCTTAGAATAAACACCACCACAGATTTTTTTTTTTTAATGAAAAGCAATAAAACTAACAAAGTATTTCAGCTGGTGGTACCACAGGGAACTCAGCTGTTCAGGCCAGAAATCTGGGAGTCACCCTGGCCTTCCCCCTCTCCTTCAACCCCATCTCCGATTCCAAATCATCGCTCAGTTTTCTCTAGACCATTCCCTTCTCCAGTTGCCTACTGGTCTCCTAGCCTGGTCCTCATGACAGCCTAGCTTGGCCCCCTGTATCTGCATGCAGGGCGACCTTTGCCCTTTTCCTAGAGTAGACCTCGTGGAATGCAGACCTAACTACTTCATTCCTGCTTGAATCCTTTCCTTACTTGGATAAAACCTGAGCTCCTGGACATGACATTTGGAGACCTCAGGGATGTAGCCTTCCCATATCTCTCTAGCCCCTCTACCACTCCTACTGCCCACCTCCAACCTCAGCAACGCCTGAACTTCCCATAGCTCCCTGTACCCCAGTGGGGCTGGGACCATAAGTGGCAGGGCCCAGTGCACAGTGAAATTGCAGTGCCTCTTGTTCAAAACACAGATTCAAAGCTAAAATTACCAAGAATTTCAAAATGGCAACCACAATGCGTTAAACCCCAAGCACAGGGCCTGTGTGGGTTCTCAGGCCATACACACATGGCCTTCAGGTGTCTTCACCTGTGCTCCCCTGCCCCTCCAGTGCTTTGCCTAGAATGTCCTGCGCAGTCTCAACTACTCTCCTCTTTCTCCGTCAGCTGTAAGAATCACTTGGCTCAGGGATTGGTGCCCAGAAGTCTCCCCAAGCTTCCCTTTCCATGACCTCAGGCCTGGAGCTGGGGTGGGGATTTCTGCTCAGTACTCCCTCTAGACCAGCAATTCCCAAAGGTTGATCCACCAACCATCTACCACATAAGCACCTGGGATGGTTGTTAAAAATGAATCTGACTGGGTGTGATGGCTTATACCTGTAATCCTAGCAGTTTGGGAAGCCGAACAGGGAGAATCATTTGAGGTCAGGAGTTCAAGACTAGCCTGGGAAACATAGCGAAACCCCATCTCTACAAAACACTAAAAAATTAGCCAGGCATGGCTGTGCATGCCTGTCGTCCCAGCTACTCGGGAGGCTGAGGAAAAGGATGGCTCGAACCCGGGAGGCTGAGGAAAAGGATGGCTCGAACCCAGGAGGTCGAGGTTACAGTGAGCTGAGATCACACCACTGCACTCCAGCCTGAGTGACAGAACAAGACCCTGTCTCTAAAATATACATAAATAAATGAGAACAAATCTGAATCTCAGGGGACAGGGCCTAGGCCTCTGCCCTTTAAAAGGTCATCCATAGAGCTCTTTGCAAGCTGAGATTTGAGAATGAGTGTGCATAGCACGCAGGCTCCTCATCAGGGTCTGTGCTCCATTCTTTTGCTTCCTTCATGTCTAGCGCCATGCTAGACAGGCAGGCAGGTGCTTGCTTGATGTCCACGCCTACCTGTGGGATGCAGCTAGCCTCTTCCAGCTTGAGGTCTGCCTTCAGAATCCCACCTGTACTTCTTGATGACAATCCTGAGTCCTTATGGGGAGTTAATGCATCTCTGCATGGCTGCAATGGCTGGGCCACCAAGGGTCCCCAAGAGTGACCCGTGGGGTTGGCACTTCCTGGATGGGGCCGCCAGCTGGTCTGTGCTGGGTCCTTGGCTTCCATTATCCTGCACCCCGAAGTGAGACTCAGCTTGTGCCTTGGCTTCCTGGGAGCTCCAGAAGGGAGGAGAGAGAGGACACTCTCTCCATAGCTGTGTGTGTGACAGGGCATCTCATTTTCCCCGAGGCTGAGAGCCCTCGTGTGAGTCTCCAGGCAGGCTGCAGGCCAAGGAGACTGCAAACGGTGCCACAAGGCCCCACACTGGCAGCATTTCCTCAGCTGTCTCCCTCTTCTTCTTCAACGAAGAGATGGCATCAGGAAATGAACTAAAAACCCGGGGGCCTGGCTCTGGCTCGTGTCAGGCCCAGAGACAGTGAGAGGCAGCAGTGAGCTCAGCTGTGGCCATGTTTGCCCTGGTCCTGGCCCCAGGGCTGGGAGTGTTGATCATAGAATCCAGGGAGTTGTGCCCCAAGCCCAGAGCCAGCCCAGTCCCTGCCCCCTCCAAGCCTGGGAGGCAAAGCAGCACCCACAATGCTGTGCTGGCTGCCTCCTGCACAAGGCCCCAACACAGGGTGCTGGGCATTTCCTTGCACTGGACTTAGGGCTTCCTGATCTCAAGGGGAAGAGTCTACCTGGGGGTGGTGGGTGTGCAGAGGGAGAGCAACTGGCCTGAAATGTTTGGCCACCATTCATTCCTGTCTTCCCTGGTGGAGTGCCAGCGCTGGCAGGTGCAGCTCAGTGATCAAACACTCATTCCGCTGCAAGAGTGTCCTCTCTGTTGGGCTCACCCTTGGCTCAGCCCTGAGGTCCCAGCTGGCCACACCCCCAAGACCAGCCCACAGCCCTCCTGGATCAATGAACCTCTCCATGAGCAGACCAACAGGGGCCCTTGGGTCTCCCCACTGCCCTCCTGCAAGGCATCAAGGGTCCCCTTGAGCAGCAGCCTCTCTTTTTTTTTTTTGAGATGGAGTTTCACTTTTGTTGCCCAGGCTGACGTGCAATGGTGCGATTTCGGCTCATTACAGCCTCCGCCTCCTGGGTTTAAGCGATTGTCCTGCCTCAGCCTCCCAAGTAGCTGGGATTACAGGCATGCACCACCATGCCCAGCTAAGGTTTTGTATTTTTAGTAGAGATGGGGTTTCACTATGTTGGCCAGGCTGGTCTCAAACTCCTGACCTCAGGTGATCCACCCACCTCAGCCTCCCAAAGTGCTGGGATTACAGGCATGAGCCACCGCACCCAGCTGAACAGCAGCCTCTCTTGTCCCTATTTGGAGGTGTAAGCACCAGAAACTAGAGGACAGCTTCACAAAAACTTGGTCTTCTCCCTCCTGTTTTGATTAGATCCAAAGTGCTTTCACTCTGTTTCAAAAATATTTTTGGTTTATTTTATGGCTGTTGTTTCAAAGATAGGCTCTTTCTAATTAACGGCACGATCAGATTAGGACCCCATGCCAGCCAAACTAGGCAAAACATCTGGGCCTCTAGGAAGCCGGTACAGGGAGGAGAGCCCTGCGGTTCCCTCAGCATGAAGGAGGATAGGTTGCCCCATGGACCATTAAGCAATCGTCTGGGAGCCAGTTGTCTGGTGGTCTGTGTACGGTTGCCTGAGTAAGCAGATGTCTCACAGATCAGGAGATAATCAAGCCACTTACATATCTAGTGCTTCAGCCACGCACAGTCTCTCACTATCCCCCTGAAGTTTTCCTTAATCATGACCATCATCACCCAATAATCATAGCTTCAATTCATGGAGTGTTTGATATGCGCAAGGCGTGGTGTGCAAGGCACGGTCTGGAGGCTTATAGGGTTTCATTAAACGCCATAACAACCCTGAAGTGTTGCAGTTGTTAGCGCCATTGATAAATGGTGTGACTGAGGCTTGGAGGTGGGGGTAACCAGTCCAAGGTCAGACCGATGGGAAGGTGTAGACTGCACCCGATGCCGCAGCCATAGGGAACCTTGGCAGGTACTGTTCCCTTAGTGGGTCTCACTACAGGCCCCTTCCCTTGTGCAGCCTGCCCAGTTAGCGGAAGAAGCAATCAGTCCTCTGCCACCCTGTAGCCCTGCCTCAGGTCTCTGTAGCATTTCTGCCACCTATGGTATTACACACACACACACACACACACACACACAGAGAAAGAGACAGATATATATATATATTATATATACACACAGGTATATATATATATACCTATATATATATAAAAGATATATATACATATACATATATATGCGTGTATATATATACTATATATAGGTATATACATATATATGTATATATACACACATATACATATATGTATATGTATATATAGATATATATACAGGTATATATACGTGTGTGTATATATATATCTATGTATATATATGTGTGTGTGTGTATATATCTCTATATATATACACCAGTATGTGTATATATCTATATATCTATATATATATGATTTGGTCTTTGCCCTGGTTCCTGACACAGAACTCCTAAAACCCTTGGAATGTCCTGAATGATGGGAATGCCTTTTGTTATTGATAATAAGCCTTTTTGGTACACCTGGGTTTAGGCTGATGAGATGCTCATAGGTGTTACCCAAGCATCATCCACCCTACCTCCAGAGAGAGGAGGGGGGCTGGGAGTTGCGTTCAACCACCAACGGCCAGTGATTGAATCAATGATGACTACCTAATGAAACTGCCATGAAAAACTCTAAAGGAGCCGGGCACCTGGCTCACACCTGTAATCCCAGCACTTTGGGAGGCCAAAGCAGGAGGATCACTTGACCCCAGAAGTTTGAGACCAGCCTGGACAACGTAGAGAGACTGTGTCTCTACAAATAATTTTTAAAAATTAGCCAGATGTGGTGTCATGTGTTTGTAGTCCCAACTACTCAGGAGGCTGAGGCAAGAGGATCACCAGAGCCTAGAAGATCAAGGCTGCAGTGAGCCGTGATCATGCCACTACACTCCAGTCCGGGCAACAGAGCAAGACTTTGTCTCAAAAACAAACACACAGACAAACAAAAAGCCCAAAACAACTCTAAACCATGGAGTTTGAGGAGCTTCCAGGTTGCTGAAGATATCTGCCTGCGGGGAGGGTGGTGTGCCCCGCCTCCATGGGGACAGAGGCTCATGTGCTCAGAACCTTCCAGACCTCGTCCTCTGTACCTCTTCATCTGGCTGCTCGTTTGTATCCTTTATAATAAACTGTAATGTAAGTATAGCATTTTCCTGAGGTTTGTGTTTGTAGTGAATTACTGAACCTGATGGGGGCTCGAATGTGAGGTTGGCTAGGCAGAAGTGTAAGTAGCTTGCTGTTTTTGTCTGTGTGGGTTGCTATACAAAACCTCAGACTGGGTAATTTATAAACAACAGAAATATATTGCTCATTCTTCTGAGGCTGGCAAGTCCAAGATGAAGGTGCCAGCAGATTCAATGTCTGGTGAGGGTCTTTTCCTCATACAACGGCAACTTCTATGTGTCCTCTCATGGCTGAAGGGGTGAATGAGCTGCTTCTAGCTTCTTTCCTAAGAGTCCTATTCATAAGGACTCCACCCTCATGACCCAATCCCCACACAAAGACCCCACCTCTTAACACTATTGCAGTGGGGAATAGGTATCAACATGGATTTCAGAAGAACACAGACATTCACACCATAGCACATGGGACCCTGTTTGTGGCTGGCATCTGAAATGGGAGCTGTTTAGTTGGGCTGAGCCCTTAATCTGTGGGGTCTGGGCTCAATCCGGGTAGTTAGTGTCAGAAATGAATTGACTTGTAGGACACCCAGATGGTGTTGGAGAATCTAACTGATTGGTTGTTGCTGGAAAAACCACCACACCCCTCTACTGAACTGTGAGCTTCACAGGTCCAGAGTGGGACTGGAGTTGCTGTTTCAAGAACATCAGGCCGGGTGCCGTGGCTCACACCTGTAATCCCAGCACTTTGGAAGGCTGAGGTGTGTGGATCACCTGAGGTCAGGAGTTTGAGACCAGCCTGACCAATGTGGTGTAACCTCATCTCTACTAAAAATACAAAAATTAGCTGGGTGTGGTGGCGGGCGCCTATAATCCCAGCTACTTGAGAGGCTGAGGCAGGAGAATCACTTGAACCCAAGAGGCGGAGGTTGCAGTGAGCCGAGATCGCACCATTGCACTCCAGCCTGAGCAATAAGAGTGAAACTGTCTCAAAACAAAAAAAAACAAAAAAAAAAACAAAACACATCAGGGGTTGGCACAGTGCCACAATGCCACAGTGCCTGGCACACCATAGGTGCTGATTTGACCCATTAATCAGCAATTTCAGGCTCTTAGTCTCCAGGTTTGGTTCTCGAAATGTCTTCCTCTTCAGTTGAGTTAATGAAACAGGTATTTCCTGGGTTGGTCATGGTAAACATGGTGACGGGTGTTAGTGAGTTTCAGGGCACAACACCTAAGGTGACATCGATTGTGGGTGACATAACAAGGACCCATCACCTCAGTCTCATGACTGGGACACAGTCCCTCAACCTCACTGCCTTTCAGCTTTCCAAAGTGTCCTTCCTTATTTGAAGCCACAGTGGTTCCATAGCACCAACACAGAATCACGTCACCATGAAGCTGGAGCAGCGTGCCTTAGGTCACCTGATGAAAATGGTCTCCAGCTGTGTGTCATTCCCATTCCAGACTCCGAGTTGGATACTTTTTTCCCCATAAGGCGGTATAATTGACCCTTACATCCAGGCTTTCCCCTCCCACCGAATGTTGTGTATCTCAGGCCTATGAGACTCAAATCCTCTCTCCTCTGAAGATGCATAGAGTCAAGGCAGGTTGGGAGGGAGATGGTTCCAGAAAGGCCCCTACTGCTGTCAGCAGCTTCCAGGGCAGAGACGATTCACTGGGGTGGGCAGTTCCTGAGCATGGAGGCCGGCTGGGCATCCATCCTCAGCTCCTTCCTCTCCTGGAAACGGCTTCTTCAAAAGGGTCTGTGCCAGCCTTGCTGGTGGGGAGGCCTGTTCTGAGCCTCTGGGGTTGTTGGAAGGTGGAGTGGGGCTGGGGGAGGGGTGAGGAGGAGGCCTGGAAAGCTGCCATCAGAGTGCGGCTGGTGACAGCAAGAATCTATCAATCTTGCCTGCAGAGCCAAATATGGTGCTGGGGCTCAATAGGTAATAAACAATGGTCACATTGCAGGCTGGACAAGGAGAGACATTACAGATGAGAGGGAAGGCAGGCCTGATGTCACCACGTGTGCGGTCCTGGCTGGTGCGGACTGCATCGCCCCTCCCGGCTCACCCCAGGGTGCAAGGAGTCCATATTTGTCCTTGTTGAGTCCACATGTGTTTTTATTTATTTTTTTAAATTTTTTGTACAGACAGGGTCCAGCTGTACTGCCCAGGCTGGTCTCAAACCCTGGCCTCAAGCAATCCTTCCGCCTCGGCCTCCCAAAGTGCTGGGATTGCAGTCGTGAGTCACTGCGCAGGCCCTTACATATGTTTTTCCTTGATATGCTCAAAAGGGGGAAACTGAGTCCTGCTTGTCATGTTGAAGGGGTATTCTTGGCGCTGTGCCATGACTCCTAGGCTCTCAGAGGCATGGCATGGATTGAGCCCTGTCTCACTGTCTTCACTTGCTTTCAGTAGCATCATCTGCTCATTGCCAGACTCTTAGCAGTGATGAGAGCACATATTGTTACTGGAAATGGCCAGAACTGGCAAGTTTTTTTTAGCATAAATGCTTTAAGCACACATTATTAAAATCTCAGTTTTAGCTATTCCAGGATAGCTGTTTGTAGAGAGCTGGGGAACACGCAGACGGCTAAGGACCTGAGGACAGCTTGGCTGGAGAGACAAACACTTGCACATACACGTCTGAGAATGAGCACTGTATTTTCTAGGCCAGGGCCAAATAGTCAGCAAGGCAAGGATGCGAGGCAGGGGCCCGGGAAGACGTCAGTGGTGTCTTTCTGCACATTAGGTTCACGCATTGGCTTCACCAACAGGGTGAGATCTATTCCTTTTTCTTGTGCCTCTGTGTATATTGGGGCTTTTTCTTAACAATCAGATTTACCTGGAGCTTGGGTCCCATATAATCACACAGAAAAATGGCAGTGGGGGAGGTAGCGTCACATCCTGCTGAGAAGAGCACAGGACTCTGAGCCAGAAAGAACGGGCTTCGAACCCCAGCTGTGCCCAAGATCAACCATGAGACCTTAGAGCAGTCAACTAATTCATTGAGCTTCATCTGCTTGTCCATACAACGGGGGACTCCCGTCCGCTCAGCAGGGCATTGTGAGAATCAGAACTAGCTTTCGAAAGAGCCCAACATAGTAGGTTTCCAACAGAATATACTTGCTCTTGAAGCGAACGTGGGTTCTTCTAAACTGAAATGATTAACTGCCTGGAGGTGGTTAATGGCTAGGAACTCTGCTTACCCCTGCTGTACATTTTTGTGGTTCGGAGCTCTTTCCAACAGGCTGTGGCTTTAAAAATGCAGATAGCTCCTGCTAAAGAGATAAAGCTTTCCCGAGGAAGCTAAAGGGCATCCTGTTCTGATTAGCACTGACTCTGTCTGGACTGTAATGCCTCCACCCGCGTCAGTCACAGAATGCTGAGCAGGGATCTGGAGGCTGCTTCGAAATGTGATTGCAGGCCTGACCATGAGACTAGAATACATCACCATCATTCTGTCGGTCATCCTCAAGGAAAATCCACTAAAGGTTTCAGAAAAAAAGCCTGGCCAGGGGTCTGCAGCCTGCCACGTGGGAGCCTGAAGTGGGGATGGTCGACATGCATCTCCTGGGCCGCTCTGGAAGTGACAAGCTTCCCAGTGGGTCAGGACAATGTGGCTGCCACACGGTGCAGGGAGGGATAGTCACCATATGCAGGCCACATTGACCGTGCACGCTGATCTGACCCAGTGCTGTTTACTCTGTAATCACTGTCTGAATGAAAAATCAGGAGATCCATGCGCATTTGCTTCATGTTGTTCGGGATGGAAAATCCTCATCCTTTGTCCCCGAAGAAAAATATCTGTGAGGCCATCAGTCTAAGCTTTAAAGGTCATGGAGGGAAAAGGTACCAGCGCCATCTAACTCTGCTGGACCAAATCCGTGAGGGGAATGAGGTAAAAATGGGAAATGAATCAGTACATCTAAAAAGAGAGGCAAACCATTATTAATGCAAGAGTGGGACTCAACCTAAAATTCTACTTATTAGCCTTCATTGTAAGCTTGCAATTCATATGTCTCCCACAATGAAGCTACATTAAGAATAGTAGATTAAATAAATAAATAAAGAGTAATGGAAGAATGTGATGATTGCCATTTATCACCCATAAATATCCACGTTTCTATTCTGTGGAAAAAAATCAGTGATCTAAATATTAACCAGTAGCGCACATTATAAACACTTACTTACATATTATGATCACCATAAAGTCATTACAACAGAAATAAAAACTGTTTTTTATTTTAACTATTAATATTCATCAAATGTTAATGAAAATACCTAACAAATAATTATGAAAAACACATTGCTTAAGTAATAAAGATGAAAGAGATGATAATCGTTGTGAATATTTAATCTGCAAAATAAAGAACATACCATTAATAAGACTTAATTATGTCATTAAATATTTAACTTTACTTTCTCTACTAAATTTTGCTTGCATTTTGCATATTTTAAATGTGAAAAGCTTCTTAATAAGATTAGTAGTTTCAGCAACATAAAATGCCCGACCATTTAAGTTTGACTTACTGTCTTCATCAAATTGGTCAAACATCATTTTATTTATCATTAAGTGAAATGAACAACCCTCTTTGCTGTTTATTACAAGTTATGCTTTATCCATAAGGGAAGTTGAATAATTGATTCCAGGTTTATACACACAAAAGTGATGTTTTGTAACAGTGAAGAAAATGAATTGCTTTCCTTTTCCATTTTTTTTTTCAGTATCACATAATCTCCCACATTTCCTACTGTTTGCGTAGGAGAATACAGATCTGATTTGACCTTAGTGTGCTGTAGAATAAGTTCTACACCATTCACAGTTAAATCCATTCAGTTCCTCACAATTGACCCCCATCACTTATAACTCTGGCTTCGGAGAAATCTCATTTCTTTGGTTTAAGATCAAAGAGAGTTGGCCGGGTATAGTGGCTCCTGCCTGTTAATCCCAGCACGTTGGGAGGTTGAGGCAGGAGGATTGCTTGAGGCCAAGAGTTCAAGACCTGCCTGGGCAACACAGCAAGACCCTCTCGCTATAAAAAATTTAAAAATTAGCCTGCTGTGGTGGCGTGTGTCTGTAGTCCCAGCTGCTCAGGGAGGCTGAGGTGGGAGGATCACTTGAGCCCAGGAATTCAAGGCTGCAGTGATCTGTGATCACACCACTGTGCTCCAGCCTGGGTGACAGAGCGAGAACTTGTCTCTAAAAAAAGATGACAGAGGCCAGGTGCGGTGGCTCACGCCTGTTTTCCCAGCACTTTGGGAGGCCGAGGCAGGTGGATCACTTGAGGTCAGGAGTTCGAGACCAGCCTGGCCAACATGGTGAAACCCCATTTCTACTAAAAAATACAAAACTTAGCCGGGCATGGTGGTGGGCGCCTGTAATCCCAGCTACTCGGGAGGCTGAGGCATGAGAATTGCTTGAACATGAGAGACGGAGGTTGCAGTGAGCTGAGATTGCACCACTGTACTCCAGCCTGGGCGACAGAGCACGACTCGGTGTAAAGAAAAAAAACAACGACAGAGAGCGAGTTAGATTCCTACTACTGCCGATCCACAGTCAAGGGTAGTCTCAGATCTCTCGAACTTACCTCAACACAAAGCCAGGGTCTCCCTCTCAGGTGTCCAGCATGGGGCCTAGCTGTCTCTCCCACCATCTCCTCCCACGCCCCTTTGGGACCTGGGCCTCGGATGACCAGAAGCTGGATGGGCAGAGCACAGGTACTCTGAGGCAGCGTCAGGCATCGCTGTGCATTGGGACAGGCAAAGCTTTCTCATCCGTGCATCTGCATCTCCTGCATTCCTGGTGAGGCAGCTGAGGCAGTGGGGTAAATGCCCATGCTAGCCTTGTCCTTTGCTGGCTAAGACATAAAGAGCTCTTTGTTGGAAGTGGAAGGAGAATCCTGACATGACTGCTGCTTGGGCAGTACCTCAACCTGGCTCTGAGGGCTAAGGGGGCAGCTGGGCAAGGTGCAGGTTGGCCCAGGCCTGAGGGCCTCTCTCAGGATACAGGAACCTTCAGAGCTAAAACCAAGGATGGTTCCAGACAGTGCTGGAGGGCTGGTCACCCCTACAGTGTTTCTGATCTGTGAGGCACAGAACAGTCCCGGATGAGACCTGGAGGGGCAGACCAAGTGGAAGACAAAGAAGTCTGTTCGGAAAGGCCTCTTCCTGCCCAGGCAACGGCTGGAAAGAACAGGAAAAGGCAGGGGGAAAGCCTGAAGTCCCAAGGAGAAATACAATGTTTCCGTCCTTGGGCATGGACAGGGGTCTGGAGCTCAGTGCTTCATCCGTTTAGGAATTCCATTACCTAGTCTCCAGGGCTCTCTGGCGGCTTGAGCCCCCAGATGCTCTGGTGGAGGCTGTGCGCCGCTCCTCCGCCCTCCTCCTGCCTGGCTGTCGGCCGCCGCTGCCTGTGCAGGAGGCTCATCGTTATGCCAGGGCTGTAGGTCTGCTCAAAGCTTCCCAGTCACCAGAAACATGTTCTTCTGGGGCTGCCTTTCCCACTTGGCTGGCGGTGCCTGACTTGCATATGAAACCGGCCCTTGGGGGCAGTAGGCTGGCGTGTCAGCCTCTCAATGCTAGACCAACAGACCCAGCCAGATTCTCAAGGCAGCCTCAGCCTGCCCTTTCTTCCCAAGAACACATGGGGTCTTTTTAGAAGAGCCATCGTGAGAGATGCTAAAATTTCAACTTTGTAAGAACCAACAATGACCAGAATAATAATGGGGCACATCTCCCTGATGCTACATGCTTTCACTTGTCTTAGAAGGGAGCTTTTTTTTTTTTTTTTGAGACAGTTTTACTCTGTCGCCCCAGGCTGGAGTACAGTGGCGCAATCTCGGCTCACTGCAACCTCCACCTCCTGGGTTCAAGCAATTCTCCTGCTTCAGCCTCCCGCGTAGCTGGGATTACAGGTGCACACCACCATGCCCAGCTAATTTTTGTATTTTTAGTAGAGACGGGGCTTCACCATGTTGGCCAGGCTGGTCTCAAACTCCTGACCTCCGGTGATCGGCCCTCCTAGACCTCCCAAAGTGCTGGGATTACAGGTGTGAGGCATCGCGCCCGGCGGAAGGGAGCCAATTTTTGTGACATCTGTGGTTTCCCATTGCGCCTTGAGCTGCAGAAGCCAGGCAGGCCCCAGGGCTGCTGGTCCACTGGTGGTGTTGGAGATGCTGCTAGAGGGGCTCAGCCCCTGCAGTGTTAAAGGCACAGGCTGAAGCTCATCTTGTCAATCATCAAGATGCTGATTGAATATCCCCAGGGGATTCTGAGACTGGGCCTTGTAACTTTAGGTGCTGTTGAAGGTCTGATCACGCCTGCACACAGCCTGCCATTTCCCAGGGATTTAAGGGTCTACTCAGGACTGCCCCTTCCACATTGTCCTCCTTGGTCTCCCCGCTGAGCTAGGGCTTCTTCTCCAGGGTCTCCTGCCACTCTGTGCATAAATCCATCACTGCTCTTACTCCTGGAAGAGCAGGTGACCCTTGAACAACATGGGGGTTGGGGCGCCAACCCCTTAACAGCGGAAAATCCACATATAACTTTTGCCTCTCTCAGAACTTAACTACTGATAGTCTATGTTGACCAGAAGCCTTGCTGATAACATAATCAGTTGATTAACATACATTTTGTATGTTCTAGGTATTAGACACTATTCTCACGAGAAAGTGAGTTAGAGAAAAGAAAATCATAAAGAAGAGAAAATATATTTGCTCATCATGACATGGAAGCGGATCATCTTAAAGGTCTTCATTCTTGATGTCTTCATGTCAAGTAGGCTGAGGAGGAGGAGGAAGAGGAGGGATTGGTCTTGCCATCTCAGGGGTGGCAGAGGCAAAAGAAAATCCATGCATAAGTGGACCGTGCAGTTCAAACTTGTGTTGTTCAAGGATCAACTGTGTAGGCTTTCTCCTTCTCTAGACGGGACTTCAAGATAGAATGGACCCTCTGTCATCATTTTTGCATCTCCAACAGCCACAACAGTGCTTTATATATAACAAATGACCAATAAATGCCTATCAAATGCATTGAATAATGGAGAATGCCTTTCCGTCCTTTGAATCACAGCTTAAGGGATTACCTCTTCCAGGAAGTCTTTTGGGTTAATGGAGGGCACCTTCACCTTTCAGTATAATCCTAACCCTCTCTTGTTTTTGAAAAGAGTTAATGGGGCATAATGAATAGTCATATCTAATATTTACTAAGCACTTACGACCTGCCAGGCTGTGTTATAAGCACTTTACTTGCATTCCTTTACTTGATTCTGATAATAATCTGCTGAATTAAGTTATATTACTATCATTCCCACTTTGCAGATGATGAAACTGAGAAGCTGAGGCACAGAGAGGTTAAAAAACTTAAGGCTGGGCGTGGTGGCTCACACACCTGTAATCCCAGCACTTTGGGAGGCTGAGGTGGGAGGATCACCTGAGGTCAGGAGTTCGAGGCCAGCCTGGCCAACACGGCAAAATCCCGTCTCTACTAAAAATACAAAAATTAGCCGGGTGTGGTGGCAGGTGCCTGTAATCCCACTGCTCTGGAGGCTGAGGCAGGAGAATCGCTTAAACCCGGGAGGTAGAGGTTGTGGTGAGCCAAGATAGCATCACTGTACTCCAGCCTGGATGACAGAGTGAGACTCCATCTCAAAAGAAAAAAAGAAACTAACTTAAGTTGACATATGGCCAAAGTGGAGAAAGGATGAAACCCACCCAGTTTGACTTTAGGCCTGCTTACGCATGCTGTCCTGCTGTCTCTGAGTTTTATTTTGGCTGCATATTGAATAAATGACTAAAAATCTAGAGCGGTGGTGACAGAACTTTCTAGTATGCAGAAATGTTCTATATCTGAAATGTCCAATCAGTAGCCACTAGCCTTATGTGTTCATTGAGCACCTGAAATGTGGCTAGTGTTTCTGAGAAAGTAAATGTTCAAATTTTAATTAATGCAAATTTAAATAGCCCCATGAGTTTAGTGGCTACTATATGGGACAATGCCACTCTAGGACAGAAAGGACCTATTTTTAAATTTTTAATTATTATGGGTACATAATAGTTGTCTATATTTACGGGGTACATACAATGTTTTCATATAGGCATACGATGTGTAATAATCACATCAGGGTAATTGGGGTATCCGTCACCTATCATTTCTTCGTGCTAGGAACATTTCAATTCCACTTTAAAATATACAATAAATTATTGTTAACTACAGTCACCCTACTGTGCTACCAAATGCTAGATCTTATTTATAAGGAAGGACATATTTTAATTTTCTTCTCTAAACATCTTACCATGTAACCCATGGTCATCAAAAGGACTCTTTCTGAATGGCTGCATATTAGTATCTCTCTGAATTGGGGAAACATCCAGTGATCAGCCTGGAGTGAATTAGTGAAACAAACTCAATCTTAGTCCTTGAAGTCTCCTTTCTACTCAAGCGGCTTTCTGAGTACATGAAAAATGTACAATTCTAGTTTGTTCACTCACAGAGGCCTGGAGAAGATTAGGTGCTCAGCGGAAGACTGGCAAACTAGAGCTGGGATAAGGGACAGGAAGGAGCTTCCCTTATCAGTGCTAGACCTGGTCTTAGGCATTCTCTTATTCCATCCCCAAAACAATTGAGGGACCTACCTTCAATTGTAAAATAGGATTCCCATCTCACAGCTGAGGAAAACTCAGAAAGGTTAAGAAACTCCCTCAGAGAGAGGCACTCAGAAAGAGAGCTGTGGTTTCAGCTGGGTTTGTCTGATTCCAGCGGCCATGGATTGTGGTTGGAGGATGAGGGGTCACTGTTCAATGGTAAAGGGAGGTACTCGAGGCTGACCATCTGTTCAAAGAGTGAGTGTGTGTTATTATCGCTCCCACAGTGATGCAAGGCACGTAGTTAGAGTTAGTGCCTGAGCCAGAGACCTGTTTCCTTCCTTCCTTCCTTCTTTCCATTTTCCCTCCCTTTCCTTGGCCCTCCCTTCCTCCCTCCTTCCTTCCCTCCCTCTTTCTTTCTATCTCTCTCTCTCTCTCTTTCCCTCTCTCTCTCTCATACACATAACACACATAATAATAAATCCAGATTTCAAAGATTCAGTATGAAAGGGTATAAAATATCTCATCAATAATCTCTGAATTAATTTTGTTGAAATGATCATATTTTGGATATACCAGGGTTAAATAACATGACAGAGAAATTATATTAAAGTTTATTTAACCTGTTTCTTTACTTTTTGGATGTGACTACTAGGATATTGTAAATTCCATAGTGGGTCAGGTGAGGTGGTTCACGCCTGTAATCCCAGTGCTTTGGGAGGCCGAGGTGGAAAGATCGCTTGAGGCCAGGATTTTGAGACCAGCCATCTCTACAAAAAATTTAAAAATTAGCTGGGTGTGATGTCTCACACCTGTAGTCCCAGCTACATGGGAGGCTGAGGTGGGAGGATCGCTAAAGCCCAGGAGTTCAAGGCTTCAGTGAGCTATGATTGCCTCACTGCACTCCAGCCTAGGTGACAAAGTGAAACCCTGTCTCTATAGAAATAATAATAAATAAATAAATTGCATCGTGGCTCGCGTCATATTTCTATCGGACAGACTGGTCTACAGGATTGCGTGTATGAGTCTGCATGAAACACCAATGACTTGTCAAAACTCTCCTCAGCCTGAGCAAATGATTTCATCCCACTAATACCCACACTGAAACAAAGTGAAACTGGCTAGGTACGCACAGACTTTGGCCTCTGCCTGGTCCGTGGCCCCTCTTGGGTATGATGCTGAGGACACCAGCTGGAATTGCTCACATTTTTTCCCTCTGCACACAGAGCACATGAAGCTCTGTCCTTTCTTTGCCTTGAATGGCACTAGCATTTCTTTCTTGAGCAAGGTGCTTCGTCATTCCTCTGAGGAAGGCAGGTGATGAAACCGTGACACAGAAAAATGGCCTGCTCCCTCCAAGGCCATTCCCAAAGGCCGTGGCCGAGCAGAGCCAAGCATGCCATCTACCATGAAGCTGACCACCCTCAACTGCCTGGACGTTCTTTTCTGGCTAACGATCTTACAGCAGTGGACAGATTCAACACACAGGCTTCCAGGGGAAAGGATGGTGGTGTCCGATAGTCTCTGACCCCTCCCATGATCATAGTATTCAACCCTCCCTGGGCTCAGTGACTTATTTCCTCCTCTTGGAGGTGGGAAGTGCTATAGTATTCCTCTTTGATGATTTAAAAGTGGTATATGCCTTTTACTCTTTCCTCTTTATATCCAGCCCTCTCCTTTCTCTGTGCTGCTTTTACACCAGTTTCCATAGTAACAACCTCTATTGTATCCCTGACTGAGAAGGGAAATCATGCAGATGTTCGAAGGGATACAACACCTTCCAGCAGCTATTTTGATGCACCGGCTCCTTATCTCCCTCACTAATTTTCTCGTCCTTCTCTTCTCCTTACTGCTGCCCCTTCCTCCAAATACTTACAAACCCATCCCAAGCTCCCTGTCTCCCCAGTGTGAGCCTGGGGGAGTGGGCAGGGAGAAGGAGAGTGCTGGCAGAGGAGGGAGAGGTCTCATTACGAATCTTAATCTTTCAGGTGGCTTCAGACAGAATGACAGGCACCAGTCCCGGACAGGACACGCACAACACAAAAGCTATGGGAGGTAGAATCAAAAGTACCAGAGCCCAAGAGCCGTGGAAGATGGCTCTCCGATTGCCTTCAGACAAGCACCCTTACCTGAATGCTTGCAGAATAAACAGACTGCCTGAACTATCTGTGCCACCAACCCCACCCCGCTCGCTCCTGCCCCAGCCTCATGAATAGCTCCTGCACCATATCTGTGAGTTTGAAGGTCTGTCTTCCTTCTACGCATTTCCCTTGGAGAGATCAGCCACCTTTTCTGATGGGCAGGGCAGAGGTGGAAATACAGCGCACGCACACACACACACACACACACACACACACACACACACACACACACACCAGGGCTTTGAAGACCTGCAACAACAGAGTTGCCCACCTTTCCTCCAGCAGCCAGGCTCAGCCGGCCACCTGGGAAGGCAGGAGGAATGGGGGTTCATCAGTCATCTCCCGAAATTGTTTGATGAGTTCTTTGCACCATTCCTCCTTGGAACTGGACATGATTCTTTTGATTACACAAGCCTGACAGCCGATCATAATAACCATGTAACTGAAGAGAACCTATTCCTGTCCAGCGGCATTATTTGTTCACCTAAAGCAAAGCCTGAGCTATATTTAGCATATGATGTCAGCGGGTTGTTTGGATTCTTGGAAATTGGCAGGAAGCCACCTCTCACATGATATATGAAATCACTGATAAATGCTTCTTTTCACCAAAAGAAAAACAGCTTAATAAATGTGGCCCTTTTCTGCTTTCATCTTCCCTCCCTTCCCTTGGCCCTCCCTCCCTCCCTCCCTCTCCTGCACCCTCCTTCCTTCCAGCCAGCCCCTCTCCCTCCACCGCCTCCCACCCCTGCCACATCTGGGATTTGTCTTTCTGTGGCACAGCTCAGCAGAGCCTGTGAAGTGGAAATGAGTTGCTCAGTATCACAGATCAAAATGAGGCTGTTGGGATGCTCAGGATGTTTTTTTCCTCTCCTCAAGCCTGGAAGGCTGCCAAAGTGCTCGTGAATCAGACGCACATGCACAAAAAGGCAAATCTATACAGCAGTGGCTTTATGGGGCCCGGTATTGACGGCATAGCACTAGCTCTGGGTTGCTGTTTTGCAGGCAAGGATGGGAAATAGATAGTGATTCAGGACTGCCATTAAGTGTGGAAACAGCCCCTGTACAGATTGTATGTAATAAACCCAGCACAGAGAGAAGCTGTAAGCAGCTCTGGATTTGCTGCCCTGGATCAGCCACGAGGCCCATCAAGTTCAAGCTCCCGATAGGTGTGGTGGTTAATACCTGGTGCTCTATCTTCCCCATCCTGCACTGAGTCCATTATACTAAAGCTGTCAGAGGGGTTGGAAGGGGTTGTGTGTGTGGAATTAAATTAATTCTTGCCCTCCTGTGGAGATCAGTTTATATGGCCTGAAGCACAAGATTTAATTACCCTTATCTTAGCTCGTGTAAAAACCAATGTCATTATTGATCATGGATTCACCAGGTCCCTTTCACAATCAGCTGTAACATTTAACTCAGTGACCCCCTGCAGGCCACGGGAAATGGGGGAGCAGCAGCTCCCAGTGGTGGTTTATTGACATTTATTTGTCCTCAGCTTCATCCAGTGGCCTCCTGTCTGCCACTGGAAGATACTGTGAAGACAAGAGAGGGGCTTGTTTCAGCCCTTTAGTATCTTGGATACCTTCATGATAGTCCCTTCTAACACAGGCTCTGTCAAGGCCAAGCAATCCTGGCATGGGTGATATCAGCCGGCCTATGAGGGACCTGCAGAGTTTCAAAAACAGCACCGTGACACTGACTGCAACTGGCCTTTCTCCCACACGCACACATGCGCAGAGCTAGCTCGTCTTCATCCTGGATGGGAGAGAAAAACAAAAAGGAAGGAGGAGGGAGGGAGAGCAAACCATGTCTGTATTCTTGATGTAACTGCCTCAATTTTTTACTGGGGTGAGGAATGGATGCAGCAATGAATAGACAGGTGAACAGACAAACAGGTGAATGGACGGATGCTTACATTAATTAATCAACAGTGAGAAATCCCACAAAATGAACACCGGTTGTAGGAAAAAGCTGTTCTTCCAACCAGTCTTCTAATTAGCATTCATCTGGGGCTCTATATAGAAACTGCAGACGAGTGGAGGGCTGTATTTTAATTGGAATTATTTTTTTTTTCTTGCTTAAAATGAGGGGTATTGGACCCGGATGCCCTGTTAGATCCCTTTCAGCCTCTGAAATTCTAAGGTTCTGTAATTCTGTGATTCTGCAACTTTATGAATCACTCAGGGTAAATTAACTTTTTTCTGGAAAGCAACTGTCCTCCTCTTCCCCTAGGTGCAGCGAGCGAGCTCTGCTCTGAGATAGGGTCCTATCCTCAGACATGGATGCTTCTGGAATCCTTCCTGCATGGGGGATTGGGACTTCTCTGGGACCTGAAGAGCCAATAAATACCCCTCTTCTGGAAGGACATTTGTCCTCACCAAGAACACAGCTCATCTGGGCTCTCTGGAGGGCCAGGATAGTGTTTATAATGATGATGACAATTTCTGTTTTATGCAAAGACCAATTCTTTTAGCCTAAGCTGCTCAAGAAGTTTGCCATCATTTCTATCAGCCCCAGATCTCACATAGAATAGCACCGTCGCAGCTGGCAGAGCACCACGTGACAGGGACAAATAACTCACTTGCCCAGCTCTGGGCCAGGGCTGGCCCACAGTTTCGCTGGCACTGGGCTGCAATCACAGTCTGTCTCATCACATTACCTTGGAGGAGGTGCAGGAAGCCCAGGCGAGGTCGGGAGAGAGATGGAGAAAGTTGAAAGATTTAGTATTCTCACAGTTGCCTGGGAGAACACAGCACAGCATGCAGAGCCACAGTGGCACAGCGTGCAGGGCCACAGTGGCACAGCGTGCAGGACCACAGGGCCACCCTCGGGGTGGGTCAGGAGCCAGAGGGAGAGTGGGACAGTGGCAGGAGCTGTTAGGGTGGTTTCCATGGGAAGGAAAAGCAAGGCAGGGTGTGCGGGCTCGGGACCGGCTAGCTGTGTTTGCAAGTGGCACCCCTGCGAAATTCACCTTTACTGTGACTGTCAGAGTGTAGAGTTTAAAGTTATCTGAGGACTCCAGATGTCTACGGGTATATTAGCCAGGGTTCTCCAGAGAAACAGAATCAATAGAAGCATGCGGAGCGGAGGGATGGGTGAAGAGAGGGAGAGAGAGAGACATTTTAAGGAATTGGCTCACATTATTATGGAGGCTGAAAAGTCCAAAATCTCCAGCAGGCTGGAGACCCAGGGAGATGATGTTGCAGTTCAAGTTAGAAGACCGTCCACTGGCAGAATTCTCTTCCTAGGGTCAGGCTTGGCTCTACTGGAGCCTTCAGTTGATTGGATGAGGCCCACCTGCAACATGGAGGGCCACCTGCTTTGCTCAAAGCCTGCTGATTTAAATGTTAATCTCTTTCAAAAACACTCCCACAGAAACATTCTGAATAATGTTGGACCACACATCCAGGCAGCACAGCCCAGCCAACTTGACACATAAAGTTAACCATTGCAACGGGTGAGTCACAATTGGCTTAGGTTGGCAAATAGGGCCTTAGGTGGATGTCAATGCATCACTTTACAGAAATTAAAAGCATGGTTAATACCGAGTCATTGATTCCTTACAGGGGTAGCTCTTGTGGGGCAGGATCTGTGACAGGGCCTCACTTCCCAATACCTTCACCCAGGTGACTTCACGCTTCCCTTGGGAAGGCACCTTGTAGCTTGCAAAATGCACTCACTCCACTCTCTGATTATCTGATTCTCCCAACACCCGGCAAGGTCAGCCTTATTATCCTCATCTCAGAGACATGAGAACATGAATGGGGAGGTGAGGTGACTTGGACAACTTGCGAGTGAAGGAAGTCAGACTGGATTCCATCTTCAGATTCCAAATGCCAGGAGCTGGCATGCAGTGAGAGATTGCCTGTGTCAGGCACACTTTCTGTGCTTCCTTTGTACTAACTTGATTTTTCAGAACAACTCAATGAAGGAGCCATTACTGTTTAACAGGCAGGGAAACTGAGGCACTCTCAGTGTATCACACAAGGTGGGCTGGCATCTGGGGCCAGCTTGGAGTCCAGAATCTTCATCATCTCGCTCCTGCCTCCCACACAGCCCGGGCAATGCCCTGTCCCCCCATCCCCAACCCCAGCACACTGCCGCTTACCCACACCTCTTAGCCTATCTTCGGAGACTGCTAGCAATCACCCTTTGAGCAAGTGTAACTGAGGGATAGCATAAAGATTTGGAAATGGAAAACAGAGAAATCCTCAAAGTGGAACAAGCTCTCAGAATGAGGCTGGGGCTGCCTAAAGCAAGCACCACCTCCTCAAACACCCTGTCTAGGAGCGGTCCCAGTTGACCCAGCTTATCAGGAAGGGCTCCAGATGTGGCTTCCCTGTGAAGCATCTCTGGTCTCAAAGCAGGGTCCCTTTTTGCTGTCCTCGCATTACACACTGGGCCCTGCTATTGCCTTCGTCATGATCTGCCCAACATGGGAAGCACATTCATTCAAGAAACATTTGCTGAGTGCCAGGCACTGTGCTGGGGGCCAAGAACTTAGAGACAGGGAGGAAGGTAGCCCTGGCCTCAAGGCAGTCTCAGGCTAACTGAAAAGACAGGCCTGCCAACCAGGCAGTACCAACCCGATGGCTGTACCAACCTGATGACTGGCAGCTGGCCCTGCCTCCCCATTAAGGCCTCCAGAAAGCACCCTGGACCCACAGAGTGAGGCACCATCAGCTCTGCCTAAGGGATGCTGGCAGTTCCGTGGGGAGAGAGAAGGCGGCCTAGAGCTGAAAGACAGTCCACAGATGCAAGAAGGGGCAAGGGCAGCTGGCAGAGGGAACAGCACGTGCAAAGACACGGAGGCATGAGAGCATTTAGTTTTGCTCAGCTGGAGCACACGGCATATGGAGCCAGGGCCAGAAGGACACCAAAGGCGGTCAGGTTAGGTGGTAAACAGCCTGAGGGCCCACCAAAGAGCTTGGATCTGTTCTAAAAATACCCTTCCTGGCCCTTGTGCAATCTTGCCATTGTTTCAGAAGCCTTGCGAACAATGTGTGAAGGGCTCTGCAATCCTCCAGGGAGTTACGGAGTCCTGGGAAGGAGCCTGGGGCTGGATTTTGACTCCTGACCTCGAGGAATTTATAATCTAGGTGAGAGCAAGACTAAGTATGTGAAATATTAGCGGCCATCCCGGGAGAAAAATGAAATGTCAGGCAGTGTGGCCAGGATAGTTAAGTGCGGTGAGAGTTGGTGAAGGGATGGGATTAGGGTGCTTCCATGTGCAGATTAATAAATCAGAAAAAGTTGTTGCTTCCTGCTTCTAAACTGGGCAAAGCCCTCACCACTGGCTTCTCTGTGAGACCCTGTAGTTTTTTTCTTAGGGGATTTTCCAAGCACAGCCTCATCAGCTCTCTTCAGCGTGGAGGCTATTTCCCTTTTGGCCAGTACCTATTAACTTACCCTTCTCCCAGATGAATTTCACTTTCCTCAGCTGAACCTGATCTGTTCCCCCAATGCATTAAGTCCATCCAGGGTTTCAGACCCTCCTACTTTTGGGGTTTGCCTAAAACCACCCCAATTCCTCTCCATAATGCAGCCTGGGGGATAAAGATATTCTCATAAACGCTTGGATGATGGAGATGTCAAGCGTGAGATTTTCTGTTTAAAGGAGCTCTCTGTTTCTGCCAAAGCTGGCAATGTATTATGAATTCCTTTGAATGCACTTGTTTGTACCTGGTGGAGATTCCCTTGAAGTGTGGATGAGTGTTTCCTGTGTTGTTGCTTCAGAGCAAAGTGGTGTCTTTGTGTGTGTCTATTACAAACACATTAACCACACGTGTGTCCCATCTTCTCCCTTACACCACGCAGCTAGGGTGATTGAAACACGACATTTTATACTCAAAAGCAAATTACAGCAAGGAATTAGTGTGAAATTACTATCCTCCTCTCAGAGTTCCTTTTTAAAAGTCAGCAGCAGTGCTCAGGATGAAAGTTGGCCTGTCAAACAAGTCCATTCAAGCTTGCAATTCCGCTGTCATTTCCCCGACGGGCTTGTGATAAAGAGCGAGGGAAAAAAAAATCTGCCAAAAATAGTGCCACTGAGAAACCCAAACCATGGCAAACTCAAGGGCCAACACCACCCGCTGCACAGCCCTCTCGGATAGGACAGCCGCTTCACGGGCTTGTTCTGACAGAGAAGTCGTGTTCCAGGGTGTGTGACCTCAGATTTCAGCACCAGAAAGACTTGGAGAGGAAGGCCCTGGAAGAGCTGCCTCTGTGAATCCCCGAAGAAAGGGAAGGGAGAACAAAGTTTACACTGAACATCTTGACTTCCCAAACAGCATGTTGAGGCAGTCCCACGGCGGACAGGTTTTGCGGCAGGCCTGGGACTCGCCCGGGACTGCCGCAGCCTGGAGATTCATCTAGAAAGAATATAACAAGCCTCCTTCTCCCTGGTGCCCATGTTACTCCCTGTTGCTACTCTTTCCGAGCCTTCAGTTCCCTGGGTGGTACCCTCAAGTGTGAAAGAGGGAGTGCCCCTTGGAAGCTGGGGAACGATTTAGGCCCAGGAGAAAATGGAAGCAAATCCAACAACCGGTGAGCTGTTAAAGAGGCCATGCGCCTGGTAGCAAGAGCTCTGGATCAAACGGCATGTGCGTGCATCCCATTCCTGGCTCTCTTGCCAGCTCTCAGGGGAGGTGGGCAGGCCGACTTCCCAGCTCTGTGCCTCTGCTCCGAGAAGTAAGACAGGAGACCTCTCCTGCCAGTTCACTGGGAGGGTTAATGCTCCGAGAGGCGACAGGTCATGTCTGTATACAGATTCCGACTTCGCTGTTTCAGCTCATGTTTATCATGCTCCTGGGGGTGCCCTTTGACCATCCTAACCACCCTGACAGCTAGGTATCCTGAGCTCCAGTTTACAGGTGAGACCATCGAGTCTCTGAAAGGTTAACTAACCTGCCCCAGTTAACACTGCCGGGAGGTGGCTGAGCCAATAATGAAATCCAGGTCTTTGGGTTCTAAGTCCAGTGCCTGCCATAAAAGGAATTTCTCCAGCCTGTTTCAGTGGCAGTGGCTGCCATGCAAATGCAATCTGTTTTCGCCTCCAACACGTCACATCTCTGGGCAGAGATTTTGTTCCCACCTTTGTCGTCGTTCTGACGTCCCACCACGCATTTGCTGTGAGGAACAACTTGCATCATGAACCAGATTTTAAAGTTGTTGCAAATATGTATCTAGCAACCATAAAACCTGATTTGTGTTTCATTTGTAAGCATACCAAATGAAGCCACGGAAGGGGCTGTGAGGATTGCAATGTGGTACACTTTTCTGGGTAAAATGTTCTTAGAGGGGCCACAGCTAAAAGGCAGTCTATTGTTTAACAGGCCTCAATGACAACCATAATAATCAATGTAGTTATTATCATGATTGTCGTCACTGCTAGATCTTACATCTTTGTGGCACTCCGATCACTAGCTAATCAGAGCATTCACCTGGGCCTGGCTTGCCCTATTCTCACTGTCTGTCTTTTTTTTGTCACTTATCACAGACTCCTGCAAGCAGAGTAGCCCTTGGGGAGGTTTCCCCGGGGACCCTTTTCTTTGGCATCCTTAAACAGCTGTCACACTGTCCCAGTTGTTTTTCAAGAAGAAAGTCCCCAGGGTTTTACTGAGGCAGACTTGAACTTGACCTCGTCGTGTTGATTGGTTCACTTTTGCTTCCCCCTGGAAAGAGGGGTGCCAAACCCTGGGTGCCCATGGGTGGATCCTGGCAGCCTTCTACCTTACAGCTCATCACCTGTTTTTTTCTACCCAGAACATGCGTTTGGACATGTAAGGATTTCAGCGGTTCCTGCAAAGCAAACTTCTCTGGAGGAGCCCGAGAGACCTCTTCTGTACAGAATAGCCTTACACCCCATAGGGCAGTCTGTCAGCAATGCATTTGAAAGGGGAGCACATAGGTAATGCATTAGGTAGGGTGGTGTGAGGAAGGGGATCATTCAGCACCTGGTCCTGAATGTTATTTGCCAGGTACTTTTAAATAACTTCTGTTAGCTATTACTCCTAAACATTCTTAGGGAGCGGGTAGGAATTGTCCTCCTTTTGAGAATAAAGAAACCAAGAGACAAATGTCTTCAGGGACACATCCAAGGAGGAAGAAGAGGTGAGAGCCTTTAGTAGTGAGGGTTACCCTTAGCTACCGTCCTCTGTCCTCCTTGGCCCCATGGGCACCCAGGAAACACACTGCGGGGGACGAATTCTGGAGCGTGGCTTTCATCCAGGAATTGTCTAAAACATTAACTGGCTGAAAGACAGGATCTCAGTCATTCTCACACAGCAAACGCAGGCTCAGAGAAGTAAGCTATCCGCAGCAAATCACAGGATGAATTAGCGCCCAATAAGCACGGAGAAAGAAGGCTTCTTCCTCGCCATCCACTCCCCGGGCCAGCTTTGAAGAAAGATATATTTTTAAATGCAAGCCTCGTAGAGAAAATGTTCCCTAGCACGTACCCATAGCCTACTAATGGGGCAGTTGTTGGCAGCTAGTACCATCAGCCCATGCTCAGGATTGTGTTCACAATTTTTATTTCTATTCTCGGCCCCTGGTATATGATAGGGGTTGCTGTCCCTGGAGACTTAGGGGCACTGATGAAAAAGGTTTCAGTAGGTTCTTGCCTTGCTCTCAATTCAAGATTGATTTTGTTCAGACTTTGGGCCTGCAGGCCTGAGGTCATTTACTGAGTTAGTAACCATTTTTGTTTGTTTGTTTGTTTGTTTGTTTTAAATTATTATTCTTCACACAGACTCCATGTAAACTGCCCAATGCTTCCCAGAAGGCTGGCGGCCCCTGCATCGCTCTGAACTGAAGAGGAGCTGAAGTCACAGAAAGCCAGCCACTACTCGATTGCCCAAGAAGCAGTCGTCGCACTGGCCCAGCTTCACAGCGGCTCTCGAGTGCTGAGAAAACCCACTGGAAGGGCTTCCTTTCCCTACTCTGCACATGAGAATAGCCATTCCTGTGTCAGTTTTGCTTCTTTCTGGGCTCTCTGATTAGGATTTATTTCCTTAGCTAGAGAAAATAAAGGGACCTTACAAGGCCTAATTAGAGCGACTCCTCTCTGATGTATTCAAGACACCCTGCTGAATTGGACTGGCAAGTCCCTGTGTATTGTTATTATTGTTGTTTTAAAGAAGCCATTTCTGACCAGGGTGGCTGAAGGAGACGCCCTTTGTCGGCCTCTCATGGTCCTGGCCCTCGCCAAGGGAACTGTTCCTGAACTGCTGTGTTTATTTGAGTTATGTAATATAAACAGCTCCAAGGAGATGGGCTCCTCCACTTTTGTTTTTAGACTCAGCCTCCAGTTGCCCTCTGCAGAGCTTGTCGCTTGGGTGGTTTCCTCCAGCATTCTTTGCTTTGCTGCTGGAGAACAAAATAGCCCTGCCTTGACCCTTCTCGGGGACCAGCCCTTTCCTTTCAATGGCCCAGCAGTGAAAGTGAGGGGCAGCTTATGCTAACCTCCGCCAGGGCTTGAGGGCCCGTCCAAACCCAACAAAGAGGAATCGGGGATGGGTATGACTTTCCCTGTGACTTTTTCACTGATACATGTTTCCTCTAAGTCCAGAGCATCCCCAGAACATTTCAAACATAATCCCACTTTGTATACGGATTCACACCCGATTTTTCAGGAATGCATCCGATGTGTAAAACCCATGACTATAGTTAGGAAGATAAGTTCAAAAGATGTGGTAGATACCAGCCCCGCATTACTTTACTATTCACATCTGCTGAAATCACACATTTTCAAGGCATGTCCTTGCTAATTAGAGCAAGCTCATAGTTTAGCCCCCCAGTGGCTCCACGCAACAGAGAAACACTAAATCTTCTCTCTCTGAGTCTGGCTTGGCACAATGGCATCCGAGGTACAGTGGGATTATAACACATTTTTAGCAATAGGTTTCTTAAAACAACTCTCGAAGTGTTGAGTCTCTTATTCCTTTATTTACACGGTTGTCTTAAAGCAGATAACAAACAGTTTCAGAAGAGTCATTAACTCTGAAATTTCTTATTGCAGGTTCCATCTCCTTCTATAGAATTTCATTTTGCAATATTCCCTCTCGCTCTCGAATCACCCCAACACACATTATCTATCAGGGTCACCCAGCAACCCTGGGGTAAGAAAGATGTCCTTTTCATCTCTTTAGAACTGTGAGTCTGGGGGAGAGGGGATTAGAGAGGTGGGAGGCACAGAGGTTTGGAGAAGCAGGTCCCTGGAGGCCCAGACAGCAGGAATGACCTTGAATGGAGCAAGGGGGAGAATCTGCCAGCCACATTTATTTTCCCATCGGATTCCCGGAAAACTTACAAAATATCTATATTACAGCAATGAGAGGGACCCAAATAGAATTGGAGATTTTTGTATTAAGAAATACTTCAAGATCTACCAGTCGGAGCCCAGTTGGGGCCGCCAACAAAGCCACACAGCATCCTCTTGTCTCTTACAGCCTTTCAGAATCTCTGTGTATTTTTCGAGCAGCAGCAGCAGCAGCAGCTTCCAACTCTTGCACATTTGCTAATTTGCCAAGTCCCCAAAGCTGCCCTGCTGTCTCTTTCTGCATTTCCCTCTTTCAAGGTCAAACTCCAGTGCACCTCAAACTTCCAGTGTTTTTCAGTGCGGTGTGAGCCTCTGCCTGCAGGGCCCCTCCCCTGAAGGGCGGGAGTCGCCAGGGGCCAGGGTCCTTGTGAGGAGCCCAGAGGAAATCTGTGCAGGCCTTGACTTTCTCACACATATTTCAGATGTGCAGGGTTGTGATTGTAAACAGCGTCTTCAGAGCCGGCCTCCCCACCCGTGTCCTGTTCATATCACCCTAGGGGTTCCAGTAATAGGGCGTAAAAGCAAACAAAGAAAAACAGTAATCTGGTGTTCCAATTGCATTTTTTGTTTTTAGAAAATGTTAATGATAGGTTATTTGATTACCCTAGGTTTGGCCCCACGCGCTCTTGATTAAGCACATCTGGTATTTAGTAACAATATAAGTAGCAGGAGTTTTTTTGGCACTTGAAAAGCAGCTCATCCAATGTTGCCATGCAGTTTGGAAACTCGTCAGTGAGGCCAGCCAAACTTGTGGAGATACAAGACTTTTTCTGCAGGCTGGGCAGCTGGCCAGAACTGCTAAAAAATGTGAATTGGCTAAGAACTGCTGCCACGCAAACACTTCTGGAAATTTCTGTGCTTGGGCCTGCCAAATCCATTATGCACAACATGAATTACAAGAGTTTCTATCTCTCCAAGCAGTTGCTTTTTGAGCTTAATTCTCCTATACGCTTTATGAAACGCCACACACACAACCAAAAATGAGAAAAACACCCCCAAATCCACTACCATCCTTTTTTTTTTCTGTCTTTTTCCATTTGGGTTGCCAAGCTCACAGCTTTTCCTGAATTAGGAGAAATAGCCTCAAACTTTGGTTTGAATTACATTAAATCTAAATGTGGGAGGCAATTGTGCTTCCTGGAAATTCTAGAAAGGAAGGATGTTTCGCATCAAGGAGACAGCCTAATATCTAGGTAGGAAAAACAATAAAATGCAACAAAAGAGCTTGGAAGGGGAAAAACATATACGCCCTGTTCATGTCCAGCCGTTGGGATTTTGGCCTTGTGGGAAGATTTTGCTCAGACTAGAAAGAAATGCTGTGAGCGGAATGTGCCTGTCTTGTGCTTAAGACTGCGGCCCTGCTTCGAGATGCACCGAGCCCGACGTCTTGGGTTTCTATTCACATCCCTGCAGACTGTCAACCACATGGGCCATTTTGGAAGCAGGGTGTGCCAAGCAGGTCAAAGGGAGAGCACGCAGGAAAGACAGCCAGTCCTTCCAGTCCAATCCTGCTTCTTCCCATGCCTTCCCTCCCTTCCAGGGCTGAGAAAGGTTTGCATCATGTATTTTCTGAATCCAAATTGAAACTTGTCTTTTGCTGGTGATTCAGATGTGCAGGATTACTCAGACTCTGCCTAGGATTGTTTTGAAGGGCCTGCAGCTCCACTCCTATTCTCCAGAAGCACTGGGATGACATTATTCATAGGGCACACATAATAGCTAATATGAGGTAATCACATTAGCACATTCTGAGACATAAAGTACAGCTAAATCCTTCCAATTCCCACTAGGTGTAATGCTGTCTTGACACACAGCCCTTTTCATGATAACCGTAAGGTCACTTCTCCATCATCCCTCCCCGATCCCTTTATTTTCTGGAGTATCTTTTGTCTTAGATACTCCTGTCAATTTCAGCCAATCAAAATTGACGTATTCTAAGAGCTAGTGGTCCCCACTGTGCCATTCCATCAAGTTGCTACTCGAGCTTGCGTCTCAGTTTCTCTCTCTGTTAGGAGAAAGGTTGTGTTTGCAGGTGGCCATCCTCCCAGGGCATGGCAGAGCCCAGTACGGCAGAAATGTCATGGGATTTGGCATCAGGTTCTGGCTTGGACACTTGTAACTTTGTGTCCTCACTTCTAAAATGGGAACAGGAACGCCTTCCTCACAGCACAGTCATGAGGAACCAAACGTAATGATAATTATGCAACTGCTTTGCAAACAGTAAAGCAATATACGAATACGGCTTGTCATTATTATCTTGCAAGGCCTAATTGTAGAAATCTGACCACTTACGTTACTGTGAACATGATATAGAGAGTGTGGGTCAAGATAGTCAATGCCCGTGCAGAATGCAATGTGGGAATGTATTACAGCTGACACTGCCAAGTGATTGTTGATTTCTGCAGCTGATGCAGGTTGACCTCTCTCAAGAATAATTTTTAAAGTATGTCACTTGCTCCTCTCTTTCTTTCTCTGTCTGACTTTCTGTCTCTGCTTCTCTGTCTCTCTCTGCCTCTCTGTCTCTCTTTCTCTGTCTGTCTCTTTCTTTCTGTCTCTGTTTCTCTGTCTCTCTTCCCCTCTCTCTGTCTCTCTGTCTCTCTGTCTCTGCCTGTTTCTCTGTGCCTCATTGTCTCTCTCTGTCTCTGTCTCTGTGTGTGTGTGTGTGTGTGTGTGTGTGTGTGTGTGTAGGTGTGTGTGTCTTCCTCTCTCCTTTTCTCTCTCTTTTCCTTCAGGAATCAATTGGTAGAAATCACTATTCATATGCCAGTTTACTGTATTGACCTAAGAATGAAGGTGAGGTCGCCAGTGCTAATTAAATTTCCTTTCCCATAGTGAACTGTATCCCAGAACTAGAGTTCACACTAAGCAGTTAAACAGGTTTGGGCATTCGAAAAAAGAAAAAAAAAAGCTGGGGCCCCAAGAAAGCACTCTTGGCCTCATTTCTATTTGGCTCACATTGCCTGTCCTGTTCTTGGCTTAAATTTGGATCACAGGACTCATTTTCTCATTTTCCTTTTCTCATGTTCCTGGATCTTTGTTGTAGAATTGTAGGAAACACAGAGTCAGGAGAGTCAGCCAAAAAGTATTTCTCCCCTCCCTGGAAGGTCTCGGGCCCTGCTCAGACACCACATGCGCAGGGCCGACTGCATTCCCACGGCGACGGCCTCCTGGCCCGCATCATGACTGTTGTTTTCCTCGCGGTGGCCATAGCTTTTGGATTTTACATTCAGATTGGTTCAAGGGGCTTTTTCCTTTCTCTGTTTGAAGGAAGCCACCCTCTCGATCCCCAGTCAGCGTGGCGTCCTCTCAGCAACCCGCTCCTGGTCTTGCTTTGACTCCTGTGCTCCCGGGCTGCCGAGAACACGTCTGGAGCTTTTAAATCAGGGTGAGTCCCAGCCGCCGAGGAAGCACTGAACAAAAAGGCCACCGCTGGGGAGCTGCAGGGGCACAGACGGAGCCTGGGAGCGGGGCTGACCATGGGGAAGAAGGGGAGGTGGGAAAGAAGGCCCGGCCACCTCCACTGCTACAGCCACAGCGACAACAGTAGACAGTGACAGGCCCTGCCTGCCACGCACTGCAGAGTCTGTGGCTCTCCCCTGTTAAGTAAGAGCAGTCGGCGCTGACGTTCAGTGAGGTCATGAGGATACTCACAGAACTTTCTGGAATAAGGGTCAGGCTGCGAAGCATTCCCCAGACATTGTAACATCCAGCCAGTCACTCGTGGCATTTAGCTTTTAGGTTCATCTCTGTGAATAATCATCACAAATATTTACTGAGCATCCTTCATCTCCTGGAAGCCTCGTGGATTATCTTGCTGAATCCTCACCACAGCAGCCCGCTGAGGGAGGTGCTATCATCGTCCCTGTTTTTCAAGGGAGAGAATCAAGGTTTGGGCAGGTGCAGTGACCTGGGGCGGTGCGGGGGGTGGGGGCGGGGTCTATTTCTGGCAGTCCTTCTTACGCTCATCCTGACTTAATAATACTGTTTCTGCATTTACTGCAAAATGGGCTCCCCCAGGGGTTACCCACAGAGACACATTTTCTCTTTTCTCTCCTCCACTCATGAGCTCAGTTGCGTGCTACGTTATCTGCCTTGTCTTCCCAGGCGTACTTTAACTTCTGCAGAGCAGACTGAAACTATGTCCGCCAGGCCAGGGCTTTCATTGCCCCCACCCAACTCTCTCCTGTCCCTGCCCCTACCTCATCCTATCAGCTAGCCGTCAAAAGAGCAACCGGAAAATCCCACACTTTGGTTAATAAAGCTAATATTAGAAAGAATCACTAAAAGTTAAGCTTTAGGGTCGAATCCATTGATAAGTGTTTAATACACTGACCATTTCATCTGATATTTTATTTTTTTAATTTTAAAATTAATTAATTGTTTATTGTTTATTTTTTAGAGACAGGGTGTCACTCCAGAGTGGAGTGTGGTGGTGCAAACATAGCTCACTGCAGCCTCCAACTCCTGGGCTCAAACAATCTTCTTGCTTCAGCCTCCCAAGTAGCTGGGACTACAGGTACATGCCACCACACCTGACTAATTTTTTTTGTTGTTTTTTTGGTTTTTTTAGGGACAAGGTCTTGCTATGTTGCCCAAGCTGATCTTGAACTCCTGGCCTCAAGCAATCCCAATAGTTCGGTCTCCCAAATTGCTGAGATTGTGGGTACAAGCCACTGCACCTGGACTTCTTCTGACATTATAAAGCAAAGAGCATTTTCAAAAGCTGATGCTACTTGTGCATATTCCATATTTGCTGAGCGCTTACTGTGTCCCCATTAAGTGCCAGGCACAGTTTTCAGCACTGCTTTAAAGTGTCTACAAGCTTAGAAAGGGCATAGGCATCTCTTGAAATCCAGTGTTCTAGGGAAAGTTTTTCCTGTGGTTTTGCACAGAACCCACCGCTTCCTGTCCAAGGTGACAGCTTTAGCTGGGAGAGAAATTAAAAATGCCTCCTTGGAATAGCTATCTGATGTGTCTAAATATGATTGCTGATGTTAGCAATAGGACCTGCCTATTAGCAATGGTTTGGGCAACTGTATGTGTGAGGCAGGGAGAGAAAGAGGAAGAAAATACAGCTCTCACTATTGTTTCCAAATGGCAAGACTGGTTTTCCTGCTACCTACTAACCAGTGTAGTTATTAGTGTTACATATCACCTCTGCATCTTATTTATGTAATATTCCAAGAAGCTAAAAAAAAAAACCTCTTTTTTTTTTTTTTTTTACAAATCTTAGATTTTATGAACACTTGCTAATAGCCCCCCCCTCCTAGATCGTCATTGCTGTGTAACAAATTGTCATACATTTAGCAGTTTAAAATACCACACATTTACTCACAGCTTCCATGGGCCACGAGTGTGGGGACGAGTGACTGGGTCGTCTGCTCAGGGTCTCTTACAAGACTCCATCAGCGTTTCAGCTGGGGCTGGGGTCTCATCTGAGGCTCAGGGTCCTCACTCCAGGTCACAGGGCAGAATTCATTTCTTTCAAGCTACGGATCTCATGGCAGCTTGCTTTTTCAAGGCCAGCAAGGGAGAGAGTGAATCTGCTGCTTTTAGTGTCTGACCTCTCGATCTTCTTTTAAATGGCTCATCTGATTAGGGCAGACCCACCCAGGATAATCTCTCTTTTGACTAACTTACAGTCAACTCATTAGAGATCCTAATTACATCTGCAAAAATCCCCTCACCTTTGCCTGATAATGTGACATCATCACGGGGGCAATATCCCATCACTTTTGCCATATACTATTGGCTAGAAGCAAATTAAGGTCCTGCTACCACTCAAGGGGAGGGGATTACACAAGGGCATGGGACATCAGGGGTCATCTTAGAATTCTGGCAACCAGAATAAGCTACTTGTGGATAGACATGTTGTCATACATATTTTTTGTTCAGTCATTATGCTTAGCAGAGAAATAGGCACACAGCAGAAAAATAACTGATTGGTACGGAGAATTTAGTGATTGGAAACGAATTAATATTGTTAAGACACAAAGTTTCTTGCAGAGCACACTCTGAAAAAGGTCACTTTTTACCCCTCAATATGTCTTAATGGGTTGAGGTAGAGAGAAGCGTGGGTAGGTATCAATCACGAGAGCACACAGGCTAAAAGAAAGAAAAAATGAGCTGGGACATCTAAGTTCAACTTCCACTTCCTCCTATACAAGCTGGGTGACCTTTTCCTATCTAGAAAGTGGGAGAAGTAGTTCCTGTCCTCCCTTACAGGGCTGCTGAGCAGGCAGAATGAGATGATGGGCTGAGAGGGCTTGGAGAGGACAAACTGTGGGTACAAAAGTCTTATTGTCCTGGCCCGGATTGCTAAGGAGATGGTGGTTAATAATATGCTGCTATCTCATGAGGTAAATGCGTGATCACATAGCCAAGAGATGCCTTTTTGTTCTAATGATCACTGTAAGACCTTCTTGAGAGACAGTCCAAGTCTCTCCAGCACAATGGAAAATTGCATTTTCTATGCACACATTCGAGGGGAAAGAGACCCCTCCAACGTTCTTCTCAGTTTTACCCCAAAGTTGAGTTCTGGGTCAAAAATCTCTCAAGCGTCCTCCACAGCTGACTTCCACAGTCCCCTGTGTGTCTCTGCAAGGAACACAAAGGAAGTGAGATAGTGGGAAGTCTGGGGCCATCTTCGGTCACGTGAGAATTCCCTCTCAGTTAGCCGGGGCGTGCAGCCGCACAGAAGGAAGGCAGCCACGCAGCTCCAGTCCAGGCTGGGAGAGAGCTTTGTAGATCCATCTCCCACTGAGCAGGCTTCCCTCCTGCAAGGAGAGACTCTACCGATAATGTGTTAAGATCAGATTAATGCAGGAAATACACATGAAATAAATAATAACAGTGTAATAACAGTGGCTGTCATTGCAATGGTTATTTCTGTTAAAAATGTGAGATCTACACTACGGATTTCTTAGGATAATTTTGCCCTTACTTAAAAGAAACTGACAGATGTACTTTATAAAAATGAAAATAATTTAACAAATAAAGAATTGGAGAATATTGACTCACCACTCATTTTCCTTGTTTAATCATTGCCTTTTTTTTTTTTTTAACTTAGAAACAGCAATTAAGTTTGTTTTTGTTTTTTTAAAAAAACAGTTAGGGAAATTCTACCCTCCCCATGTCCTACCCTCTCCTCAGTTCCCTCCAAGCTGCCATTATCGACAAGGCTATGCTTGGGTTCTAAATTCTCCAGGAAACAACATTATTTAAATGTCACACTGGGGCTGTTGTCGTGAAAAGATAACAAGGGTTTAAAATGATACGGAAGCCAGCTCGGTTTATGATTTGCACACCTCAAAGCTTTAGGTTAATGGAGACATCCCAACACCGCTATCCCACGGTGATGTTGCTGACTCTTCAGAAAGAACATTCACTTAAGAGAGAGAGAAACTGCATTCTTTCTCTTGTATTCTTGCATCAAGTTAAACATGCATTCTAGAACATGAAGCAGTTTGAGAAAACCACCTTGCTTTTGAGTCACACATCTGATATTTTTGCATTTGAGATGCTTAACATACAACTTATATGAGACAGGGACTCATATAAACATGGCAAGGTAAGAAACAGAAAGCGTAAGAACTGCTTGGTCTGAACTATGGACTGTCTTGGAATTTTTAAATGAGGGGCTCTTGTTTTTAAAAGCCGTGTTGACAAACTGATACTATATTTTTAGCATGCCTTGAATAGAAAACATGCAAGATATGTGAACAATATATTTCCAAATATGTCACATATTTATAAAACACAGTAAATGCGTGACAGATTGAGTAGGCTATGTGGAAAAAATAACAGCTGTGGTACACCCTATTTCTTAGCAAATTCATACACAACAAATGACATTCATGTCCAATGTTTTCCAAAATCTATTTTTAACCATTTTAGAAAAAGAGTTAGCGAATGAAGACAAAAGTTTGCAAAAGAAAAATCAGAAGATGGGTGTAAATTTAAGTGACATGTCATGTAATTATCATGTATAAAACTAGCTCTGAATTTTTCCCAGCATGCAGCTGTTTGATGGAAATGATATTAAATGAAGCATTAGAAGTGATCTGCATTTTTAGGTGGGCTGGAATGTCGTATATGAGGGAAAGCATATAGGAAGTTCCAGAATATAAAACCTACAGTATATGTGCCAATGATGTGAAGATTTACTTTGTTGGGGTAGAGTTTGCATCAAAGGTCAATGAGAAGCATGGTTTGCAGCAACAAAGACAAGATCAAGTTCGGCATTGAGAAAGCTCCTAGAAGTCAGACCAGGGATGCTCTGATTTAAATCTTGTGCCATTGAGATCCATGGTCACTTCTGAAGCAGGGAGTGAGCTTGGGAAATCGTGTTTTTAAGGTGATAGTTTTAGTAGCTATGGATATGATAGGGGCAAGTAACCTTTAAGGATAATGGTGTGAATCCTTTAATTCTGCAATAGAGATCTGTGTGATTTACAAATCATTTCCAAAACCTTAATATTATTTGAGTCATAGAACAACCCTGTAAAGCAGACAAGAAAAATTTAATCATGGCTGGGCATGGTGGCTCACGCCTGTAATCCCAGCACTTTGGGAGGCTGAGGTGGGCAGATCACTTGAGGTGAGGAGTTCCAGACCAGCCTGGCCAAAAGGGTGAAACCCCATCTCTACTAAAAATGCAAAAATTAGATGGGCATCGTGGTATGTGCCTGTACTCCCAGCTACTTGGGAGGCTGAGACAAGAGAATCGCTTGAACCCGGGAGGCAATGTTGCAGTGAGCCGAGATCGCACTACTGCACTCCAGCCTGGGAGACAGTGAGACTCCGTCTCAAAAAAAAACAATTATTTGTATCTTCCTCACAAAGAAACCAAGCACTTGTGACTTCTTCGGGGACACAAAAAGAGGCAGGTCCAGTCCTAATAACCAACTTATTTGTTTACTTAGTGTGAGATCTAGGAGAGATGGGATTTCAGGTATTTTTTGCTTCCTCTTCTTTTTAGTTTTTCCCCCTGAATTTTCTACTATGAACGAATATTATTTTATAACCATACAAATGGCATTAAACATTATTGCTTCAAAAAAGGGAAGAAATTCTCATCTTCATGCCTTCAAGCCCGGCTATTTCTCAGCTCCTTACTTAAAACTGAAATTAACTTCCCTGTGCCATCCATTCCTAGCTTCTGCCCCAGGCAGGAGGAGCTGGACTCAAAGAATACACGACTCTATTCACCAGGCCAAGCTACTGAAAGGTAACATAGAATGGACAGGGCTATGAGTCTGGAGAACTGAATTTGCATCTTAATTTCTACAGAATGGGAAGTTCCTTCATTTTCTTGCGCCCTTGTTTCCTGTTCTGTATCCTTTCTGCCCGACAGGAAGTGTTTCAAGATGCTGAAGCAAACATTGCCTTATCAAAGAAAGGTGATACTAAAGTTACATTTTCATGGGAGACTATTACAATTTCAAAATACTACAGTTGAGTGTTCTGTTTAGCCTTGGCCTGATCAGAGGGAGACTTTGGGCAGTAGGAATGTGGGGAGGGTAAGAGAGGCTGGGTGGGTATGAAGGATGCTAGAAATGGAGGTGTGTCCCTTGAGTTGAAATTGAACTAATCAGCAGGCATCCTAAGCTTTCCCTGGCCCTTCCCTTATGAGCTCTGCTCCAATGGGATGCTCCTGACTAATGGGCATGCCATAGAAACTTAAGCAAGGAGGCCTTCTCATCTAGCAGCCTAGATAATCATAGACGGCCTGCTTCCTTGAACTTGGGCGAGCAACTTGGCCTCTCAGTTTCCCACTTTCTCTACCTGTAAATAAATTATCTTACTGGGAGGTGGGGGATAATTGAAATCAAATTTCTAAAGGATTTTTAACTCCTTAGAATTCACCAGTTTTAACCTTGGGGTGGGGGCCCCTGGATCCCTTTGAGAATCTAATGATATCTATGAGCCCTTCTCCCAGAAAAATATGTACATACCCATCAGCTTTTCATGTAATTTACAAGGTTTATAAAGCTTATCTGTAAACTTCTTATAGGCTGAAAGCAAAATAAAACCTACCTTAAAAGAAAGGTGCAATAAACATATAAAATATTAATAATGTGTCATTTCTACCCTGTAACTACCATCCTTGTGGGCTTGATTGACAAGTCTATTGCCCTATGTTATCATAGTTATGCTCATTTTATTATTATTAAAAATAGCTTGGTTATCTTTGTTGGTGCTCATTCCACCCCCACACCACCTTTTTGGTGGGTTGCAAGGGGAATGTTTGAATATTTTCTACTCTGAAGGCTTTGGAACCAAGGATGTATTTGCTATTGGTCTTTTGTGTAGGACAACATAGATTCCTTCCATCTAGGTATAATCTTGTAAATAAGTAAGAATATACATAATTGAATTGAGTTTTTAGAATGAGTTCTTTATTGCTCTTGGACAGTTAAAATTGCTATGCCTGAGAGAAAAAATGAAAAGTGGCCCCGCCAACACATTACAGGAGACACTTAACATAAGCCTTCAATCCACGACTGATTAAAATGTGCATAATTACTATTCTTATTATTTATTCTAAAATAACTGAAAAGCAGTGGTCTTGAAGAAAGAAGTTTTTAAAAAGTAATATTTTATGCATAGGTTTAAAAGGAATCAGCCCATTTATTCAATAATGAAAAAGATCATTATTTTCACATTCCCACCTAATGTCTTCTGTTTTCTTCCATCATTATTTAGCTCAGCTGGGAATTAGGCATATTCTTTAGTTATGCTTTAAAAAAAGAACTGGTCTTATGAAATAGCAATATCTTTCCTAGACAACTGGCTATACTCCATATGGAGACACCTGAGTGCATAATGTTTTTTTTTTTTTGTACGATGTATAGGTTTGCAGAACACCAGAATCTGGGGTTTTCTCTCTCTCTCTCTCTCTCTCTCTCTCTCTCTCTCTCTCTCTCTATATATATATATATATATATATATATATATATATATATATACACACACACACACACACACATGTATTTTTTCCCTTTACTATCTTCTATAAAAGGATCCTGCTATTGATTGCAACTGACTGAGCTGCTTGAGTTGATATCTAAGCAACGCTCACCCAGATAGGGATTAGCATTACATCAGCCGTCAGGCGAGGGAACCTGGCAGCCTGCCAGCCTGTAAAAACGGAATGCGTTTGCGTCACTGTTCCCTTGGTGATGCTTCTTGGAGCCTTGTCAGCTGTCCCCTGAGGTTGTTTCCTTAATATGTCAACAGACATTCCTGAATCTTTAATGCTGAATAGCTCTTTTCCTTTTCCAAAAACACTTAGGTGACCAAGCAGCTCGTGTGTCCTGTTGCTATGATCTTTGAAAATGTATTTCTTTCATTAAATAGGTGTTTGTTCTATTCAAAACATTCGAGGGGATTTAAGAAGGTTTAGATTTCTGCTTCTCCATGTTAAAGGACCTATTTTTGCAGAAACAGGGCAGCCAGCTTAGAGCTGAGAGCTGCCTCTCTGCTTTTATCATTCTTAGGAAAAGCCCTTATTCCCTCACCAGCTTACCCAAACCCTCCAATTATCCTGTTACAGTGTGACATTCATTGAACAAAACGGTCAGTTGAAAGACCCGACTGGAATTTGCCCCCATTGATGACTTGCTCTCTGACCTGATCTGAGAATGCCTGTCCACTGCTCACTGCAAGCCACAAACAAGAAAGACTTGTCAACCGTTGCCCATGTGAAATCTCTTTCCTCCTTTTCCCGGCATCTTTATTCGCTGTCCCAGTAGCTTGAGCTCCACATTCGTCTTGGCATATTTTACATTGAAAAGTACCATCTGCGAGGAGCAAAGGGAGCCTTGAACTCACGTCCCTTCCTTCTCTCTCTCAGCAAGAACACGTAATGTGTGGTAGTTGAGGTGTTTTCCCTGTGCACACCCCTCCAGACTGTTAGGCAGTTGCTATAGCAGTTGATCACAGTCAATGGTTTAAGCAGCTTCAATGTGCAGGAGAGTCATTTGGGTTTTGGAGGGTTATTAAATGCAGAGTGGGGGTGTTATTAAATGCACTTAATCCCTAGTGCCATGATGAGTGACTGAGAAAAGAGCCACTGTCCCCTGAGTGAGCTTGGCAGCTGGACTCCACCATCCAAGGGGCACCGTTGGTGGAGTCTTGTCCGTTGGTGCTTTTGTGGCCAGGAAATCTGCCTTCGGGCTGGGACTCCCGAGACCGCTGCTTCCTCACTCTGCCAGCTGCTGTAACCATCGCTGTTTCTGTTCCACAATTCATGTGCCCTCAGTGCCCCTCCCCTGGAGCTCTTGCATCAGCCTCTCTGAAGAAGGTTCTCTCCCATGAACCCCGGAAGAATGGAAACAGAGTTGCCCAGAAGTAGAGAGATTCAGAATTGCTGGGTTTCAGAGTTGAAAAGAACGTTTAGAGTGAAACCCAAGCTTCTCATTTCATTTGAAAAATAAAAATCTGGACCAGGCCGATGGCAAACGCCTGTAATCCCAGCACTTTGGGAGGCCGAGGTGGGCAGATCACCTAAGGTCAGGAGTTCGAGACCAGCCTGGCCAACATGGTGAAACCCCATCTCTACTAAAAATATAAAAATTAGCCAGGCGTGGTGGTACATGCCTGTAATCCCAGCTACTCGGGAGGCTGAGGCAGGAGAACTGCTTGAACCCAGGAGACAGAGGTTACAGTGAGCCAACACAGTGCCATTGCACTCCAGCCTAGGTGACAGAGTGAGACTCTGCCTCAAAAAAAAAAAAAAAAAAAGAAAGAAAAAGAAAAAAAGAAAAGAAAAAGAAAAAGAAAAATCTGAAGTCCAGAGAAGTCCAATGACTTTGCGGGTGTGGCCAAGTTGGCATCAGACCTGGGGCCAGAACCCATGTCCCTGCACTTGCCTTTGCCCTGTTCAGTACAGCAGCCCATGAGTGTCCAGGGGCAGGGCACGGCTGGGCAGACTGTGGGCCCCGTTGCCCTGTCCAGTGGAGCAAAAAGCTCTAGGACCAGCAAGCCGTGTGCAGCATGGGGATGAGCAGTAATCATGGGGTGCACTTCTAGGGGAGTCGCCTGAGCACAGCTCAATTTTTTCCCCCTAGCTGAGTGCCCACAAGAGAGCTCTTTTCTCTCTACTCCACTTAGACTCCACCTAGCTGAGGCATGCTGTTCCTAAGGTGGCATGCATCCCATGGCAGGAATGGAGAAGCAGCAAGGGGCAGGCCAAAAGAGAACCTGGACTGTCCTGGGGACAGCATTTAACTAGAGTTACTCTCTTTTCCGTGGGAGCCAGGAGGGAAAAATAGTATAGGCACATGCAAGGAGGTGGGAAGGAGCCTTTGACCCTAACATACAGCCTACACATCCTGAATATGGTCTCCTCACTTTTCTCTTCTCCCAAACTCCATGGGTCCCCTGTGGGCAGAGATACTGAATGACTGGCTGAGCTGGGCAACTATGGTTCAGAGCAAAAACTCTGGGTTAGACCCCTTGAGTTTTGCTTGATTGCTATGTGTTGTTGGGCAAGCATTTATCCTCTCTAAGCTTCGGTTTCCTCATCTATAAAATGGAGATAATATTATTTATTTTAAGGAATGTCATAAGGATTAAATGAGATAAATTCTGTAGTGTGCTTGGCAAAGTGCCTGGCACAAAAGTGATTAGTACACCTTAGTCACTGCAATGGTTATCACTTACAGAACAGCTTTTGGAGAGAGTTCCTAATGCAGTTTACAAACACACATCTTTTCAGTGATAAGGTGGGAAGCCATGAGCAATCAATATATCAGCTTGGTGAACAACAAGAGAAGCCGCAGACAGGGCGGACAGCTTGGTGGAAACAACACAAACTACCTAGCCCCTGACAAAGCTGCATAGCAACCTCAATCCCATGTGAGGGTTACAGCCAGCCCACCCTTGCCAGGGAGCCCACAAGTCTATTTTTAGTGGCTTACAACCCTAGCTCTGGGCATTTGGTTCTAACACGCAGTCTAACGATCAGAGGTAGCTGTGGCAAAAGAGAAAAAAGAAGCACAAAGTTAATAATGGTTAGCGTATTCACGGTACATTGCCATTTAGGCAGGGCTTTAATAATCTCTGCAGGGTAGCCAATGTAGTGTTTCTTACCATCACATTTTTATAGATGAAAAACAAATCCTCAGGCTCAGGGACTTGTCTCAGACTGAAGAGCAAATAACCGTTGGGAATTAGGCCTCAACTCTCCTCCCTCGAAATCGTCCTCCCTCACCGCATGTCACACTGCCAAACATACACACGCTTATACACACAGGTGCTCACATATATGCATGTGTGCACACACACGTACAAGCACACTCATACACATGCATAGACACGTGCTTAAAAACGTGCGCGCACACACATACAGGCACACCCATACACGTACATAGACACATGCACACACGTGCATGCATGCACAAGTACACTCACACACCTACCTACAGAAAAGCACACACAGGGTGAGTGATAATGGGCATGAGGTATATGCGCTGGCAAGTGCTAGGTCTGTGCTGCTGTTACTGGTGGCAGGTACCCGAGTTATTGCAAGGTACCTGTGGCGGATCCCTACGGGTTTCCAGCAACTTCAGTACTTGCTTTCTCAGAAGAAAGAATTCGACTGAGGAACATGAAGTAGAAGGAGAGGCCGAGGCAAGTTTCAGAGCAGGAGGGAAAGTTTATTAAAAAGCTTTAGAAGAGTAAGGAAAGGAAAGAAAGGAAAGAAAAAAAGGGGCTGGGCGGGGTGGCTCACGCCTGTAATCCTGGCACTTTGGGAGGCTAGGCGGGCGGATCACCTGGGGTCAGGAGTTTGACACCAGCCTGGTCAACATGGAGAAACCCCGTCTCTACTAAAAATACAAAAATTAGCCAAGTGTGGCGGGGGGCGCCGGTGGTGCTTGGGAGGCTGAGGCAGGAGAATCGCTTGAACCTGGGAGGCGGAGGTTGCAGGGAGCCGAGATGACACCACTGCACTCCATCCTTGGCGACAGAGTGAGACTCTATCTCAAAAAAAACCAAAAAGCACAAATTGGAAGAAGACCAAGCGGGTGAGTTGAGAAACCAAGTGCTCAGCTTGCCTCTTGACTTTAGGTTTTATGCGAGGGCATACTTCCGGGATCTTACTGTGAAGCTGGTGATCAGTTTCAGGCGTTTGCTATCTATTAGGAGACAGCCTTTCCCTGGCACCAGCTGTGACTCATTATTACTTTAGAGAAATGGTTAACAGCCACCTGCCCATCACCTGATGGTCGCGCCACACTCCTGGTGTATGTCTGTGGGGCCCTCGCCTGCCTTGTCACACTTGACTAGCTACCTACTGTAACATTACGCTTGTTCTAGCTCCCCGGGATTCTTCACTGGGGTGGTCGCACAGCCTCCCTGGCCCTCACTGAGGATCCCATACACCAGTTCACTAACCAGAGCTTTTGCTTCCCTCAAGGGTCTGGGGCTGAGGGCCTGGACACAAGAAAAACTGGAACATCCTCCTTCATGTTTCCCAGTGTTTCTGTTGCCATCACGAAAACAGTGTGCTGATTTGGGAACCCAACCTTTCTCTCTCAGGCTTTGGAATCAGTCATTTGGCAAATAGCTTCATGTGGGAATTACGAATCTCTCATGTCACCTATGGAAATCCTAGTTTTTAGAAACCACAGTGGGGTCTTTGTCTTTTTCCATTCTCCTCACTCCCGCGGTGGCTGCAGGGATGTACAATCACGTATCACAACTGCGTGACACACGTCCATTCTGCGTGCGGTAGTATACATTTAGTTCAGCTGGGAGGGGGCTGGGAGGTGCCATTTCTGCTGCTAACCCAATTTCTCTACTATCGGGGGCAACTTTCCTCTCCTGCCTCTGACTCAACAAACCAATTTTAGATTTGGCCAGCTGACTCCCAGAGCGAGCTAGGGATCTGCCACAATGCTCATCTCTGCGTTTCCTCTGGTGCCAAGAGAAAGACTTTATTTGGGAATACTTGGGACATATTTTGAGGGAAAATTTTCCTGCAGTGAGTTCCATACAGGTTTTTGGGGTTTCTTTTATTCTTTGGAGTATAAAAATCATTACAATAAAACCATCAATCTTTTTATGCCTCTGATATGTATGTTCTTTTCATGGTTGATTTATCAAACATTTTCCCAGGAGACAAGAAAGTAGCTCATAATTTTTTAATAGCAAACTTCTATCCCACTGGCTGCCACACACGTGAATTCACTCCAGATGTATTTATTGAGCAACTTCTGTAGTTTAGGTATTGTTCAGGGAGCTGAGGATATGGCAGTGAATGGCACAGACACAGTTCTTGCCTTTAGGAAATTTATATTCCAGGAATAGCTAAAAATAAATTTCACAGATAGGTCATAGACCGAAACAGAATTAAGGTCAATCCATGAAGCATCACTTGAACTTGATGGCCTATTTTTATTCATACATTTTAAAGTGTTGTTTTCAAATCACTTATTGGTGACTTGAAGGTGGGGACTGCGGCTGAGAATTGAGTCCTTAGAAGAGGACTGAGAAGCTAACATAATTTAGATAGTTCATTTTTTCTTTCTTTTTTTTCGTTTTTCTTTTTTTTTTGAGACGGAGTCTCTGTCACCAGGCTGGAGTGCAGTGGCGCAATCTCGGCCCACTGCAACCTCCCACTTCCTGGTTCAAGCAATTCTCCTGCCTCAGCCTCTGGAGTAGCTGGGATTACAGGCACGCGCCACCATGCCCAGCTAATTTTTGTATTTTTGGTAGAGACAGGGTTTCACCATGTTGGCCAGGATAGTCTCGATCTCCTGACCTCATGATCTGCCTGCCTCGGCCTCCCAAAGTGCTGGGATTACAGTCGTGAGCCACTGCACCCAGCCCAGATAGTTCATTTTTTTCTTTAGGGATGTAGAGAACAACTATTTATAAACTACTTATTTTTGTAAATCTGGCCTCTAGTTGATTTCAATTGGTGGCTCATTCATTGACTCATTCATTTATCTATTGAATGCTGTGGTGGGCCAGGCAATATGCTCTGTGTAAAAACACGAAGTATAAAAGTCCCTGCCCTCAAGGAACTCATAATCTTGTAAGGAAAGTAGACATGGAGACAGTTGGATTGCTGTGGTGCAGCACGTGTTAAATGACATATGTGAGGTGGGGGTAACCAGCTCCACCGGCATGGGCTAGGGGAGGACAGAATTTTCCAGGAGATGACTTGTGAACTGTGTCTTTAAAGACACCTACACATCTAATAAGAGTCAGTGCCTTGTCTCCATTCGTTTCTCTTCAACCTTTGTCCGATGGCTGCTGTAAGGGATTTGGCCACATTATCTGGCCACCAACAAACAACGAAACCAGCCCTTCTATTGAGTAAGCTACTTAGTATTCTATTTTGTGCAATCAGAGATTAAATTCCAAATTCACTGACACTGAAGATGAAACGGCTAATTATGCACAGTAATTGCATTTAAAATCCATGCCTTTGACTGACTGATGA